>NT_187596.1:0-37287 GCF_000001405.40 Homo sapiens | reverse complement strand
ATTCTTACAAGGAAAAGGGAGACAGTGGGTATATGTTGGAAAGTGTGATTTTTACGCTGCTCAGAAGAGCAGAGTGATTTTTTGTAGAACACTCATAAAGTACTGAAAAATGCAAAAGGGAAAATAAAATTCATGGTAACCTAAATTAACAAGTAGGCATAAAATCTTATGGTCTTTTTTCAATGCACTATGTACTTTTTAAAACATTTTTTTCTTAAATTAGGACCACAATGCTTTATAGTAATTTTTTCACTGAAATCTTGCAATTTGTTAAAAACCTGAAAGGTTATATGTTCACGGTCGTTTGCCCGAGAGACAGGAGCGATGGCGACAGATCCCGGGTCTCTGTCGGGAAGTCGAGGTGAGAAACGGCAAACCCACGCTGGGAGCAAGTGGGCAAGAGGAAGGCAGGCACCTCCCGTGGGTGAAACTCCGTTCTGGTTGATTCGTTTTAGAAAGGTAGGTAAACTTTTTAAAAATGGACACAAAATTTAAAAATATATGCAATTCCACATTTTGGAAGTTAATGAAACAGCTATTGTGGAATTACACAAAATAATCATATTGATGATAATAACACCATCTATGGATTGGGCTGTGTGTCGATTTTCAGAGCAGCCTAACTTCCTTATCTCATTTGATCATGACCAGAGGCTCCAGGTCACCCTCACCAGCCTCCATGTAACACCTGCCAATGCAGCCAAATGCTAGGTGCCTTCAACTCACACAATTCCCGCTTCAGCCTTTCCTGCTTTTCCTTAGGCTCCCATTCCAATCTTTTGACTGTTTAAATGTATTTTAAGAGCAATACAATTTCTAAAACTAAATTTTATGGGACTAAGTATTTGAGAAAATTATCAGACAAACGCTGTCCTTCTCAAAGGATTTTGTTGTGCGATTTTTCTTAATTAAATGCACTGCATGCATATAATATTATGCTCAAAATAGTTAACCAGATGACTCAGCGTCTGCTTCGACCCACAGGTAGAACCTTCCGTGGGGCTCCTGTCCCAGCCTCCTGTGGGCGTCCGTCTGTCAGGAACCCTGTGACTGGATTCTGGTTCTTAAAGCTGGAAGCTCTGCTCGGTTCCTTGGCATGAAGAGTGGGGGCCCAGCAAGACCCACTGGGCTAACTGACCTTGTCAAGTCAATCGGTAACATGCTGACTTGTTAATTACTATGCGAAGAGTTAGACACATCTCCTCTGAAACCACGTAAATCCTCCTACAAACCATTTTCAACCTAACTTTGCTATGTTTACCCCTCTTTCCTGAGTCTAACTTCCCCCCCATCTGCTACAAAATAAAAAGCAGAAGGTATGAGCCACCCTTTTATCAGCATTCCTATCACAGATTCCTAGATTATACAAGTCTAGAAAGACAGTAGAACTTACATGGGGCACTGGGAGCAATGGTTGCAAATCATCTCATTCAATTACACAATGGTGATATTTTGACTCCAGATATAATAGAGATAACAAAAAGAAGACTCCCAACCTTAAACACATTCTATAAATACATGACACAGCATAAAAATGAGAAAAAAAATAAACTCAAGAAAAGAAGGTGGGATATCTTTATAATTAGCATAAGAGATAATTATAAGGTCAGATTTTCAAGAGAAAGGGGCTTTCACTTAGGAGAAAGATAATTAAAATCACCTGAATAATTTCCTTGATTTTTTTTTTTTTCCTGTCCCGGAAATACTGTTATTACACGCACTGTGAAAATTAAAGTGCTCCTAAGTGCCCCAACTATTAATTAAAATATCTACCAATAGGTTTCTATTGCAGAGGCAGCTTACAGGGACTGGACCCAAACCATTCTGGGTCTGTCCAGACCCATTGTGTGGTCTTGGGCGGCCATTTAATCTCCCTGAGCCTGGGAGAAGAGAACCCTATGAGAGCCAAGAGCTCTGTCTCTTGTTTGTCGCCGGTTCCCGGGGCTCAGATGAGGACATAGACACATCTCCTGGTACGGAATGAATGAAGGCACTTCAGTCTCCTGACCTGTAGGATGGAAATCATGAGAACCACCTGCTCACCCACCTCTTGAGATTGTGATAAGCGTCCAGTGAGACACGATACGTGGGCTCTCATATAGGTTTTTGTAAATGGAATGCATATGCTAATCATCAGGGTGGTGTGAACTTTAAGACGGCGTAGCGGCTATTCTTAACCAGCATTTCTCCCACTGGAGTTGCAAGGAGGAGTTCTGAGATGTGAAGCTGAAGGGGCCAACAGCTACCTCTCTGCTATCAAGTGCGCTGATTTTTCTAATTCTAGTCTTCCCCAGGTGCAGCCCATCTAGGATATCTCAGAATATCACCTTGTCACTCCCCACCAGCCCCCACTTCTCCCATCCCACCTGCTCTCCCCTTCCTGGCTCCTTCCCCAGCCTTAGCTGGAGGAGCTGAACCACATGAGCCTGTGCCCACGCCAGGTCCTACCTGGAAGACACGCGAGGCTGGAGGTCAGGTTCTTCCTGCCCCTCAGACCCATTTCCTCTACTCCACAGAGCCAGGAAGGGGAATGTCACAAAGCATGGGAGGTGGCACTGCTTGGAAGGGTTCTAAGATCCGGCCTTCCTGCCAGCCGGACCTGGAACGCCCAAAAAGAAGAGTGAGTTCCATTTAATCATGTGGGGACACCAGTCATGGTGTCCAAGTAACAATCCCAGGTAAAACTGTAATCACTCAGCCGTCAATTCCTCTTTCGTCCTGATTTTACACATGCCCAGGGTAGTGAACAAAGAAGGGCAAAGCAGAAAAACCCATAATCCTACCCCCAGGTACCCCAAAGCAGAAAGACTATGGTCCACCCCCAGATACCCCAAAGCAGAAAAACCCACAATCTACCTCCAGACACACCAAAGCAGAAAGACCATAACCCACCCCCAGACACACCAAAGCAGAAAGACCATAATCCACCCCCAGGCACACCAAAGCAGAAAGACCATAATCCACCCCCAGATACCCCAAAGCAGAAAGACCATAACCCACCCCCGATACCCCAAAGCAGAAAGACCATAATCCACCCCCAGACACACCAAAGCAGAAAGACCATAATCCACCCCCAGATACCCCAAAGCAGAAAGACCATAATCCACCCCCAGATACCCCAAAGCAGAAAGACCATAACCCACCCCCAGATACCCCAAAGCAGAAAGACCATAATCCACCCCGACACACCAAAGCAGAAAGACCATAATCCAACCCCAGACACACCAATGCTTTATACATTTTAGTAAAAGACCAGCTCCAAACAAAAAGACCCATAATCCTACCCAGATACACCAATGTTTCATATACTAAAAAGACCAGCTCCAAGTATTGTTTTAAGGTTTAAAGTTCTTTGTCAGAAGAAAATCTAAGTCAGATGCTATTTTTAAACATTAAGGCATTCTAATAATGATAAAACTAGTTAATAAATAATAATAATAGTTATCATTATTAAACACCAATAGACTAATCCACATTAATACATTTGACCATAGAGCATTTTGCTTTAGATTGGAAGGCATATAGTGGTTTCTTTTAGAAAGAAGCCAAATTATTTGATTATTTTAAGTAACAGTAATTCGTCCGGTTCCGAACGATGCCGCAGTAAAAGGGTTGTGAGGTTAATCCCCAGAAGTTTGTGTTGGATTATTTCTGAGGGAGCGGCAGAGCCCCCTAGACACCACTCCATCCCTCCCTCCAGCCGTCAGGGCTTCACTTTCTAGGGAACTCTGTTTCTCTTTTGTTCTGAAATCTGCCCAGCCCTCTCCCCCTCAGGAAGACACCCGGCATCCTTCCAGTCCTGGCCACTTCCCGGCAGAGCCCCCGAGCCCGGCTTGCGAACTGGTGAACACGCAACAGGTTTCCTGTTTTCCCAGCCTTTGCCTGGCTCCGAGGCTGCAGCGGGCTTGGTCTGGGAAGTGGAAGAATTGGAGATTCCGTGAACACACCGGGGAGAAACACGAGAGAGGGGCGAGCCGAAACCAAGCAACACTGTCCAGTTCTGTGAGCGCCTCTGCACGTTCAAACAGGAAAAGGCTACCTCGCTCTTCCAAACGAAGTTTTCCCGGAAAATGGTGTAGGTTGGAATAAACGGAAGAGATGGGGAAGGAGCGCACTTTGGGGCGCCTGTTCCTCATAATAAAACGTAACAGGGAGAGAGAGGCCAAGAGGAACGGACACAGAGTCAGAGAAAGGCAAAGACTGAGGAGGCAGAGACAGAAAGAGCGAGAGAGACAGAGACAGAGACAGAGAGAGAGACAGGGAGAGAGAATGAATGAACGAACCGGTAGGACGAACGCCCGACCCCAGTGCGAAATGCAAAGTGTTCCAAAGACAGAGCTCGAAGGAGGCGGAGGGACCAGACCCCGTGCCGCGTCTCCGCGCAGGTTCCGCCCGGGCCGGCCGGGGACCTGTAGTCCCAGCCCCGGGGTCCCCACGCTCCCCCGCAGGAGCCGAGACGAGCCCCCAGCCCCGCGCTCACCTGCGGGGTCCAGCAGGCCCAGGGGCCCGGGCACCGGCGGCTGCATCCCGAGGCCCCACCCGGCTCTCCCGGGGCCACAGCCACAGTCCCGCCGCCAGGAGCCGCCCTCGCGGCGCCGCCCCTTCCCCGCCCCCTGCACCTCCCCGCGCTCCGCCCGCCTCGCGTCCTTCCTCGCTCTACTCTCCCTTCTCCGGCGTTTCTTCTCCTCCCTCCCCCGCTGCGCCCGCTCCCCCTTCTCCCCTCCAGCGGCCGCCTGGTTTCTGGAAATCAGGACGCCGCGGCCGGGAGTGGAAGCCAGACCCCAGATGGAAGGTGCCTGGAGAGGACCCTGCGGACTCGGGGTCGGAGCCCCGGCCTGGGACGGTGACCCCGGGCCTTCCGCCGCTGGCGCCACGCTCAGCCCTTGGCGGTGCCGCTGAGTGGGTCACCACGGGTTCGCCTCCCCATTGGCCGGTGACGGAGCTCCTTGGGGCTACAGGGCCAGCCAGCCCTTGATCTCTGGGTTCAGAGGGTGGTACATGGTGTTACAACCCAGTCTGCGAGGAACGAGTAAATGAGGAACAAACGCAAATGAGTAAATGAGGAACAAACGCATCTGGCACCTCACTCAGCAGCCCCGAGGCAGGGCTGACCCGCCTCTCCAAGGCCTGCGTCTTTGTGTCCACAGCACTGAAGTTGTTCTGAGTAAAATCTGCTGCTGGAAAGAAGGGCAAGGAAACACGGGGCCAGAAAGGGTGCCTCGTACAGCAGCAGGAAAAAATAAAGATCCTTCTAAACGTATTTTTAACATCTTTGAGTCAAGGACATCAGCGGTCCCGTCACAAAAGAAGATGCTTGAACGATCAATAAACTCAGCCCCCGGAATTAGGGGAACGCTGTGGGAACAAGAGGATGCGTTTCACCCTCATCCTATCAGAAAACCCCAAGGGTCAAACAACTTAAAGAATGTTAATGAAAACGTGGGAATCTGCATTCACCGCTGGGATCACGCATGGTGCCACCACTTTGAAAGCAACCTTTAGGAAAATTGAAGCAAGTAGATGACAAGCCAGAAAGAAAGCATATCTCTTTCTAGATATGCCCAAGAACACAAACATAGATCTGCTCCTTCGAGCCAGGAGCCGTGGTTCTCAACCCCGGCTGTCGTTAAAGTCATCCAGGAATGTCTTTAAAAGAAAAAACATTTCTGCAGCACTGAACCCAGACCAGATCAATTGAACCAGAACTTCTGGGAACAAACTAATAGCTAAGAATTCCCTAGTCATTCTAATAGGCCATCCACTGTGAGAGAGAAACTACCACAAGAAGTATGCATGTGCTAGAAGATGCGTACAGAATATTCCTCACAACACTGTGTGTCCAAAGCACCGGACACACCCTGAATATCCAACACGGGGAGAAGCGATAAAGAAATGGGCATATACAGCGAAATACCACATGGCAGTTAAAATAAATGAGAGCTACATGGATCAATGTGGATAAATGCCAAAAACAGAACGCGGAGCAAAAATGCAAGTGCACAGTACGGCAGCGAGTACGACAGCAAGTACGGCAGCGAGTATGGTACCATTTATATAAAGTTTTAAACCATGAAAATTAACACTGTTCACTCAGTGAGCCTCTCAAGACTTACTAAACATCCGCGATATACCAGACACTGTTCCAGGTACTTGGGATGTATCAATGAGCAACGTAAACAAGGATCCTGGTGGGGAAGTGAGGCCATGAATAATAATACAATAAACAAGAAAAATGCACAGCATGTCAGAGGGCAACATGCTATGGAATACACACACACATATACACATACACACATGCAGACATACACACATGCATGCACATACACACATACACACACATGCATATATACACATGCATACATACACACATGCATGCATGTGTGCATACATACATGCACGCATACATACATGCACATACACACATGCATACATGTGTGCATACATACACGCACACATACATACACATACATACACACATGCATACATACACACTTATACGTGCATACATGCACATATGCACATATACATACACACATGCATGCATACACACATGCACACACATACACATGCACACATACATGCACACACATGCACATACACACACATACACACTTATACATACACACACATACACACATACATACATACACAGCCAGGTAATGCAGGCCACAGAAAAAGGAAAGAGAGGTAAAGAAACAAAATAGAAAGTATAGTGTGGGAGAGGGAGGGAGCTGTGGTTTTTAAGTAGTGAAAAGAGAGCTTGTTGACAGGTGATGTTGAAGACCAAGCTTGAGGGCGTGGAGGTGGTTGCTCACCCAGACATCTGGGGCAGAGGGTCTGAGGAAAAGGAACCTCCATGCAAAGGCCCTGGGGTGGAGCCATCCAGGCCCAGGGGGAGCAGCAAGGAGACCAGGGTGCCAGAGGCTTGTGGGGACCAGGTGGAGGACATCAGGGGTGAGCCGCAGGGCCTCTGGCCTTTGCTCCGAGTGATGTGGGGGTTATTGGAGGGTCCTACACATAGGATTACTGGAGAGTAGTTGTAGGATAGCAGAATGGAAGCTGAGAAACTGGTTATAGGATATGATGAAACAGTAGGAGGTGATTACACGGACACCATGAGTCATGTTTGCAGATACACGGACACCGTGAGTCCTGTGTGCAGATACACGGACACCGTGAGTCCTGTGTGCAGATACACGGACACGTTGAGTCATGTGTGCAGATACACGGACGTGAGTCTCGTGTGCAGATACATGGACACCGTCTCGTGTGTGCAGATACATGGACACCGTGACTCATGTGTGCAGATACACGGACGTGAGTCTCGTGTGCAGATACATGGACACCGCCTTGTGTGTGCAGATACATGGACACCATGAGTCATGTGTGTGCAGATACATGGACACCGTGAGTCATGTGTGTAGATGCATGGATACTGTGTAAGTAAAGTAGAAGAACATGCTGGGGGAGAGTGCATGCTTCATCCAGAACTGTGATTCTCTGTCTGGGTGGACAAGCTGAACAGCTTTGGAACTATGTCTAGGGGCTTAAACTCTATTTGTGAAATCTTCTTTCTTTAAAAAAGTTAAAAGACTTGTAAAAAAAGGGGGAATGTTGAGATACCATTAAGGCTAGATGGTGTGGACAGGGATGTTATATTATTCTCTATACTTTTCTGGATGTTTAAAATAGATGATTACTTTTTTGTAACTTTTTATTTTTATCTATTTTCAAACCTAAAGGTGGTTTGCAGGGATAGTGCAAGGAGCTCCTGTGCATCCTCTACCCAGGTGTGCCTTTGTTTGCAGTCTGTCACTTTTTTGTTTTTTGAGACATGCTGTGGCTCTGTGGCCCAGGCTGGAGTGCAGTGGCATGATCATAGCTTACTGCAGTCTCCACCTCCCAGGCTCAAGCGATCCTCTCACCTCAGCCTCCCAAGTAGCTAGGACCACAGGCGTGTGCTGCAACACCCAGCTAAGGTTTATACTTTTTGTAGAGATGGGGTTTCCTCATGTTGCCCAGGCTGATGTCAAACCCCTGGGCTCAAGTGATCCTCCCATCTGGGCCTCCCAAAGTGCTGGGATTACAGACGAGAGCTACTGTGCCCGGCCACAGTCTGTTATATTTTAAAAATTAAATGGACGAAAGGAAAAGAAAAGGAGGAAAAAGGGCGCCTGCTTGGCTCTGCAGGCCGAGTCCCACCCTAAGCCGCCAGGGTGCCCAACCTCTTCCACCACTGAGAGCAGCCCAGGGATTTCCATGTTTGTCTCATTCCACCAGGCTCAGGGAATGCCTTTTTAAAGAGGAGAAAAAGCGCCTGCCTGGCATGGGGAATGTGCAGGGGCCAACTGGAGCACAGCCAACTCAGAACTTCTTCAGGGGCTCCCTGAGCAGGCCCCACCTGCCTCCTCTCCCCAGGCCTGCACCTCGGAAGTGGCTGGAACCCACAGCCAGCACCTGTCCTTCCTTCCCGCCAGCACCACCTTCCTTCTCTACTCACTCAGAGATACCGGGGTTCCCCATGACTGGTTCATCCTCCCCTCACCCCTAACTTTCCGTGGTCCTCAGATCTCTAACCCATTCCTGCAACATCCAGTGAGGTAGGGAAGCAACAGCGCTGGCTCCGAGAGCCAGGGTCAGGGCCAGGGGCTGACTCCCACACTGTCCTGTCCTGAGCATTGTCCAGGCCCAGAGCAGGGCTGGGCTTGGCGCTGGGCTGTGGAAGCACAGGAGTGATCACTGACCTGGGGCCCTGATGGAGCTCAGAGGCTGATGGAGAAGAGACAGAAAGACTGAGCCCTCCCAGGTGATGCCACCGTGTTAAGCTCAGCGCTGAGAGGCAGCGGGAGGTGTCGCAGGGAGGGCTCCCGCAAGGAGAGACACACAGAGCTAAGAGCTGGAGGGCAGGGAGCCAGGCCGCTCGGGCCCTTCCTGGAGGATCGGATGAATCTGTTATCTCTGAGCAAGCTCCGGGAAACAGGAGACAGGTCGGGGGCTGGCTTGATGGGGGCAGTGGATGGGGTTACCCAAGATACGCTGCGACCTGTGAGCGTCCGGGAAGGGATTCAGGCTTGGGAGGAGTCCAGGAGACAGAAGTCATAGGATTGCCAATCTTTACAGTGGGACAGGTCCTTGGAGGTCATTCCGGTTACTACAACTGTGGGACAAATGACCCCATAACTCAGTGGCTTAAAAAACCACATTTATTTAGTTGGAGTTGAAATTTGGGCAAGGCCAGGAGTGGACACCCTGCCTCTGCTCCACTCAGGGTGAGCTAGGGTGGCTCCCAGGACTGGCGCGTGGCTGACTGTGGCTGTGCCTGTAACCTCTCCAGGTGACGTGGGCTTCCTCATGACATGGGGGCTGGACTCCCAGGAACGTTGGGCAAGAGAGAGAGCCGGGTGGAGTCTGTGGCACCTTCTGCAACCCAGCCTCAGCTTCACGCTGTGTCACCTCTGCTGCCTTCTCTTCAGCAGCCCGGTGACAAAATTCAAAGGAAGAAGGAAGAGCCTCTCCTTGTGTGTGGGAAATAGAAAGGTGATGTGGTCATTTGGGGAAAATAGAATTTGCCACAGGGATCACTGTGTCAGGACAGGACCCTCACTACAGGGAGGCTGGAAGGTGAACAAGCGATAATAAAGATAACGAACCTTTTCCTCTTACTTCAGCAGATATTTCGCAGCTATTTGGGCAGCTTGGAATGGGAACTGGTGGTCTTCCTAGACCACAGGTAATGAGGGGTGGCGTGGAGGAGGCAGCCGTGCCAGGCAGGAAGATCATCCTGGGATCTGCGATGTGTGCATCGGAAGCACCCAGAGAGAATAGAAGCTGCCAGAAAAATGCAAGGAAACCCAGAAACTCGGAGAGCACAAACGAATCACAGTTTTTATTGTGTGAATTTTCACTAAATATCCTACAATGAATATTCGTCATAAGAAAAAGTCATTTTTAATGTCATGATTTCCTGGAAATATAGAAAGAAAGAAAAACAGAAAAGGCACAACTGCCCCCGAGCACAGCAGCAGAATCTTGGTGGTGGGCGCTCCCCTGCCACGCCCGGGGATGCTCCTGCTTCAGGAGTTCACTTGGCTCAGTTATGGCAGCAGGTTCTGATGCTGCAGAGCTCAGAGCAGAAAGGCTAAGGACGCCTGCTTAGGGCCCCTACTGTGTGTGTGCATGTCTGTGTGCACGCATGTGTATGTGTAGGTCTGTGTGCAGGGCTGTGTGCATGACTGCACGTATGTGGATGGGTGCACATGACTGTGTACCTGTGTGTGTATATGTGTGGGTGGGTGCGCCTGATTGTGTGTGTGTGTGCGTGTGTGTCTCACGCCAGATTGGTTCTGCTCAGGTGCTCTGCATCATTTCTGCAATCTGATTTCTCCAAGTCTCAAAGGTCGAATGTGCACCATCAACAGCACTGAGAGCCTCTTAGAAAGGCAAAGTCTCCCCAGACCGGATGCACTCCCAGCTTCCGTGCCTGGAATTAGCGTATTTCCTGCAACACCAGGCCGGGCAGAGCTAGGCAAAGTCACCCAGGATCTGGAGTTGCCAGAATGCAGCTTCGGCCACTGACAGCATCATCATGGCCACATAAAAAATCCCCCAAATAAATTTCCTTGGAAGAAGTAAATAAGTTCTTTGTACTTAAGTTTGGAGGTGACCAGTCCTAACTGGTAACTGAATTCCTTGTGATGTCTTACAAATCCTTTGCTTTCTAATTCTATAAATTATGTGTGCTTTTCCCCGGAGATCTTCTGAGAATTTCCTTTAGAGAGCATTTGACTCGGAGGCCATCGGCATCAGATCAGCCCAGGACACTTCAATGGTGAATTGTGTGATAAGCAACAAAATCTCAGTAAAGCTAAAACATCAGCACAGAAAAGACCTTAAAGAAACCGCCTCCTCAGCCACAGAGGCGGCACAACGGGAAAGAAACCACCTCCTCGGCCACAGAGCCGGCAGAACCAGAAAGAAACCGCCTCCTCAGCCACGGAGCCGGCACAACGGGAAAGAAACCACCTCCTCGGCCACAGAGCCGGCGCGGCCGGAAAGAAACCGCCTCCTCAGCCATGGAGCCGGCGCGGCCGGAAAGAAACCGCCTCCTCAGCCACGGAGCCGGCAGAACCCGAAAGAAACCGCCTCCTCAGCCACGGAGCCGGCAGAACCCGAAAGAAACCGCCTCCTCAGCCATGGAGCCGGCGCGGCCGGAAAGAAACCGCCTCCTCAGCCATGGAGCCGGCGCGGCCGGAAAGAAACCGCCTCCTCAGCCATGGAGCCGGCGCGGCCGGAAAGAAACCGCCTCCTCAGCCACGGAGCCGGCAGAACCCGAAAGAAACTGCCTCCTCAGCCACGGAGCCGGCGCGGCCGGAAAGAAACCGCCTCCTCAGCCACGGAGCCAGCGCGGCCGGAAAGAAACCGCCTCCTCAGCCACGGAGCCGGCAGAACCCGAAAGAAACCGCCTCCTCGGCCACGGAGCCAGCGCGGCCGGAAAGAAACCGCCTCCTCAGCCACGGAGCCGGCAGAACCCGAAAGAAACCGCCTCCTCGGCCACGGAGCCGGCAGAACCCGAAAGAAACCGCCTCCTCGGCCACGGAGCCGGCAGAACCCGAAAGAAACCGCCTCCTCAGCCACGGAGCCAGCGCGGCCGGAAAGAAACCGCCTCCTCAGCCACGGAGCCGGCAGAACCCGAAAGAAACCGCCTCCTCGGCCACGGAGCCGGCAGAACCCGAAAGAAACCGCCTCCTCGGCCACGGAGCCGGCAGAACCCGAAAGAAACCGCCTCCTCGGCCACGGAGCCGGCAGAACCGGAAAGAAACCGCCTCCTCGGCCACGGAGCCGGCACAACGGGAAAGAAACCGCCTCCTCAGCCACGGAGCTGGCACAACTGGAAAGCAACTCTCCGAGCTGAAAAGCAATGGGTTTGCAAAGAGTGGGAAAACACACAGAAGGCGGGTCATGCAAAACGTCCTCCCGTGTCTGTAAATGGCAGTTGCCCGCCACGATGTCCAGATGCACCGGGGAGTCTGGCCACGCCAAGGGAGAGACCAGAGAGGGCGACTAGCACAGCGTTCACATCTGGTGGCTCTGTCCCCCCAGACACTCCGCACCGAAGCCTGGGGCAGAGGAGAAACCTCGTGCCTGCACACAGAAGGTGTCTCCACAAGGAGCCGTCTCTACAGCGTGACTGTGGAAAGCAGGCCTCGGGACCCTGGGACCAGCACCAAGAATGCCAGACCTGGTTCTCCGAGGCTGCGGCATTCCTCCCACGTCTGCCTCTAGGGGCCACGCAAGGGAGCTGAGACACGGGAGTTACAGAGCACTCAGCTTCCCCACAAGAACTGGCTCTGGTAAGAGCAGCTAGCATCAAGGAGGAGGATTCACGTGTGCACCCACCACTCAGAGACACAGACATATGCACACTCGCAGACATGCACACACACCACAGAGACACAGACATGCCCATGCACACACATGCACTCACACCACAGAGACAGACGTGCCCATGCACACACACGCACACACACGTGCACACGCACACATGCATGCACACGTACTCACACACCACACAGAGATACATGCACTCACACGCACACACACATGCACATACACACGTGTGCACATACATGCACACACGCACAGATGCACGCATGTACATGCACACACATGTACACACACCAGTCATGCAACCACACATGCACACACAAATATGCACCTACACACATGTGTATATACATGCACATATGCAGATATGCACACGTATATGCACACATGTGCACATGCGTACACATGCAAACATGCATGCACACATGTACACACACCACACAGACATGCACTCACACGTACAGACACACCCAAACATGCGCATACACACGTGCACATATATGCACACATGCACATATGCACACATGCAAATGCAAACATGCATGCACACATGTACACACACCACACAGACACAGACATGCACTCACATACACATGCACACACAAACATGGACATACACGTGCACACACACGCACACACACGCAGTCACACACGTACACATGCATGCAGGCACACAGACATGCACATACACCACACTGCACAAACATGCACACACAGACACAAACACATGCGCACACACGTGCACATGCACTCACACCACACACAGACATGCACACACAGGCATGCACACACACGTACACAGAGACACACATTCACAAACACATAAATGCTTGTGTGTGGAGACAACTTTCTGCATTCATTGAGCGTGAGTTTTGTTCATGAAAATCCACTGGCCCCCTTTGCTCTTTGAATGGGTCTTTTACCTATGCATGATTTTGAGGAATCACACGCTGGTCATGTGGAGAATTATTCGGAAGCTGTCACACTCACAATGCGAGAAACAAGTTTTCAAAAATTCCTCTTGTCATTTGAAAGCTCAACATTGTATCATTGGTGCCAGATACTCCCAGCTGTTTTCCTTACAGGGATGGGCTTACTTGGTTGTTTTCAGGAAAACACCCAAGCCTGGGTATGCAGGGCTGTTCGCTGTTTGTTCCATGGAAACTGGTGTTGCAAGAATAAAGGAGCTTGGTTCAGCTTGGCTGCCAGACGCCCACATGGCACACACAAAGCACTGTGCGCAAACCTCCAGCTCCATCACAAGGAACGTCACTGCCGAATGCTGCTGGCGATGGTGGCGAGAAGCCTCACGAGCTCAAAGCCACCTTGATCTGGGCCCAGGCACCAGCAGGTGTCCCACCATCAGCCCTCTGCCATTGCCGCGAATGTCAACACAGAGAAAAAGGCAAGGGGCCCGAGATGACTGTGCTGGTCTTGGAGACCCCCCTGAAAACACCCAAAGGACCACACGTGAAGAACTGCTGTTCTGTGGAACAAATGATGCCAACGCTTCAACAAATGCACAGCCCGAAGAGTCTGGGCAGATAAACAAGGTGCCGGACACGGCCCTGCTGGGTCCTGTTTCAAACAGGCCAGACATAAATAGATGTGTGGAGACCCCGGGAAAACTTCCAGGAGCACTTGGGGGCTGGAGGGAGGCACACGGGCCTGCGCCTGGGAGCTGTGCTCTGCCCACTCCACCCCATGACCCTCGAAGGAAGCACCTCACGGGGCCCCCAGGGGTGCAGGGAGTCAGCCGCCCTGTTCCTGTGTGAGCGGGGCCTCTGGGGCACCGACCTGCACAGACCTGGTGGGGAGAGGCCACTCCAGCCTCTGGGCTGTCTTGGGTGAGGCCTGAAGTGGCTCTTCCCACAGTCTGAGCAAGGGCTCAGTCCCACCAGCAGCAACATAGCCCAGGGCATGGAAGCCCTTGATGACGTACATGGGGCTCGACTCCCACAAAGCCAACCCCATTGTGGGGTCAGCACAGCTGCAGAGAGTACCCACGCCAGCCACAGCCATCCCCGAGGAGTGTGGTGCTGGGGACAGTAAGCCGGGTGTGTCAACCTGTGAGGGGCACCTGAGGCCAGCATGAGGGCAGGCGAGGCGGCCGTGGCTCATGGGTGCTAGGTCTGCAGGACTGTGCCCAGGTGTAGGCTCTGCCTCCCAGCCCCACGGCGAACACCCATGGTGCCCCTGCCCTGTAGCAAGACCCTGACCCCCACACATGTCCCCAGACACCTCCTGGGGCAACAGTGCTGCCATGAGGACCTCTGAGATGAAGGCACCGGCTCCACTGAGGCCTGTGTGGTTCCCGCCACCTGCCCCCACACCCTTCCTCCTCCACCCGCCCTGCGCTCCGGAGTGGCCCGGAGCCTGCCCCGTGGGCGCCCACAGAGTCAGGCACCAGCAGGAGATGAAGGGGCGGAGGAAGGTGAGAGTGTCCTCATCCCAGGCCTCCTCGTGAGGTCCCTGCGGCCTGGCTGAGCCCCTCCCAGGGACAGGCCCCTCCGTTGCTCCCCTGGAAGCTGCTTTCCTCGGACGTGGGAACAGCCCTGTCCCTGGGCCCTCAGGAATGGGATAGAACAGGGCCCAGGGTGGGAACCAACACCCTAAGTCTCTTCCCACAGAAGCCTAAGGACAGCAATGGCTGAGGGAGGCGTCCTGAGGTGCTCCCGTGGCTGTGCTCCCATGGCTGTGCTCCCCTCGCTGTGCAAGCATCGCAGCGACTCACACGGCTGGAGGGCAGGGCCCACTGCCTGCCCAGGCTTCACGGTGTGGCCCTGGCTGCACACCTGTGCTGCAGGTGCCTGCGCCGATCCCTGGAGGAGCTGTAGTAAGCATTTGTGCATGTAAACACATCCAAGCTTGGAAATGGCACAGTAAAAGCACAGCACCGCGATCTTACGGGAGAAACGTGGTTATGCGCGTGGCTGGGTGGCCTTTACTACTCCTTCCTCAGTCCCTCGCTTGAGGGGGTGCCTGGCTGAGTGAAGATCCCAGCACACTCAGGATCTCGTGCCTGTCCCTGGGCACCTGACGTGCTACGGAGACAGTGACTTTGCAGATGGGATTAGGGTCAGGGCCTTGAGGCGGGGACTGATCTGGGACTGTCCAAGTGATAACGGAATGTAACCACGAGGTCCCCAGGGAGGGAGGCGGAGGGAGGTGTGACCAGAGAGGACACTAAGGCCACATGATGGCAGGACAGCGTCAGGGAGGGGCAGGGCTGCGAGCCAGGGGTGCTGACTCTTGCCTGAGCCAGGAGAGGCAGTGTGGCCCTGCTCACACCTCCCTCTTAGCCCTGTGAGCCCCGTTTTAGACTTGGGCCCCCAGAGCTGTAATGGGATAAGCGTGTGTGTGTTAGGCTTCGACGCACAACAGTACCTTGAGGGTCCCGGCGTCTTGGACACCTCCATGCTGGGGGCGTACGAACATTTTCCAGGTGGTGCAATTGCCTAAGGGAATCACATCCAGACCCCTGATTTCCAGATGCAATCTCTCCCACAGTAGATCTGGGTGAGTCCAGGGCCCCAGGTCCACTGCGTCCCCTTCCCACCCGACTGCCACCAAGAGGAGCCAACCCCATCCCCAGCCCAGCCTCCCTGAGGTGCAGCTCTCCCTGCGTGACCCTCGGGCCCCAAACATAGAAGCAGTCACAGCATGGGGCAAGGCCGGGCTCCAGGGGAGAATCGCCGAGTCTGTGCCTGGCAGATTCTGTGTCTGGCAGATTCTGTGCCCAGCGGAATCTGTGCCCGGCGGATTCTGTGCCCAGAGGATTCGCACAGGGCCCAGCCTTCTCCTCATCCATGCCCAGCCGCCAGGGCCGGAGAACCCAGAGGGAGGGGTCATCACTGGACACCTCCCGACGTCCTAACAATTCTGACAGAAGCCAGATCGGTTCTGCCAACCGCTTTGACTGGCTCCCCAGCCAGGTCGCCTTTGTCTGTTTGGTGAACTCCGGCCAAGCCTTGCTCCAGGCGCCACGTTCAAACTCGCCACAGCCTTGCGTCAGGGGCTGTCACCACTGCCGTGTAAGATAAGGAAGCCAAGGCTCCGGGCAGTGGCGTGAGCAGCCCAGGGTCACACAGCAGGCAGTGGCAGAGCCGGGGCAGACTCAGGCACCGACCAGGCTCACGCACACGGCCTGTGTTGCCATGAGCCCCGAGATGAAAGGACCTCGTCTGTGGATCCCCGTTCTGTGGGAAATGCATTAAACGGCATGTGAGTACATTGCTGCCCTTTCCAACTAAACCAAAAGTATTTTAGATGCAAAGTTGACATGGCACATTTCTGAAAATTCTTTGAGGACTACACGAGCAAAACATGTTGAGAGCCGGGACCTCCGGCCTTAGCCTCAGTAACAGAAACCAAAGCCATCCCTGAACAATCTCAGCACGGTCCCCCTTCAAAGACGAGAAACTGAGGCTCTGGGAGGTTGGTTGTTGTGGCCCAGGACGGACCCCCAAAGCCCGTGTGCTTAACTGCAGGGCAGGGACGCTGGCTAGGATCTGGCCACTGGAGCCGCTCCTGCCCCAGGCCCCAAGCTGGTGGCCCACAGCGCCTCTCCTGCAATCCCAGATCAGCTTGGCAGGGGCGGTCACCTGGGATCAGGGTATTTTTTTAAATTTAATTTACTTTAGCTCTTCCAAGAGGCAATTAGATGAGGAAATCTGTCTTCCGCCGGACTGAAGATAATTAGAGAGACTGGATAAATTGTTATTGACAGTAAGAAGATAATTCGCTAGAACCGCTAGAAAAAATGCCTGCTGTCCTTCCCAATTCCAGATTCCTTCCTGCCTAGAGGAAAATGAAAGTGCCCTGAGGTTTCCTACCTTGACTTTCTCCACATGAACATGGGCCCTGTAAACCAGAAAGCATGAGAGACAGGCCTCAATCCATTGAGAGGTTCATTTGCCAAGGTTAAGGGCACACATGGGAGAGAGCTCTGTGACTTTCTCCAAAGATGATTTTGAGGGTTTCAGTATTTTAAAGGGGAAATGCAGGCTGGAGGGGAAAGAGGGAGGTTTGGTTGCGAGACTGAACCCATGCATTGCAGGAGAAAGGAACAGGCAGGACAATGGTGAATGATGCATTTGTCCTGGGCTCAGAAAGTCGGACTTTGCACTAGGCCAGGGGAACGCAGAGCAGCTGCTGGTGAAGACGCTGAGCCTTTGCTGGGCAGCTCCCTGCTCAGGAACACAAGGAAAGGCCTCTCCTCACAGGGCTCAGCTTCCAGCTTTAAGGGTTTCCTTTGGCGGTGAATTGGAGTCCCCAGATTTTATTTTCCTTTCACAGCCCCGATGTTGCCCCAGAAACAACAGAGACTCCTGAAAGTTTCCCACACCCTTCAGAAGGCTTTGGGCAAATTGGGGTGTGGGAGACGGGATGAGCATGGATGGAGCACCTACTGTGCACCTCACGCTGTGGCTGGTCTGGGAGACGGGACGAGCATGGATGGAGCGCCTACTGTATGCCTCACCCTATGGCTGGTTTGGGGACGGGACGAGCGTGGATGGAGTGCCTACTGTATGCCTCACCCTGTGGCTGGTTTGGGGACAGGACGAGCGTGGATGGAGTGCCTACTATATGCCTCACGCTGTGGCTGGTTTGGGGACAGGACGAGCATGGATGGAGCGCCTACTGTATGCCTCACCCTGTGGCTGGTTTGGGGACAGGACGAGCGTGGATGGAGCGCCTACTGTATGCCTCACCCTATGGCTGGTCTGGGGACGGGACAAGCGTGGATGGAGCGCCTACTGTATGCCTCACGCTGTGGCTGGTCTGGGAGATGGGATGAGCGTGGATGGAGCGCCTACTGTATGCCTCACCCTATGGCTGGTCTGGGAGATGGGATGAGCGTGGATGGAGCGCCTACTGTATGCCTCACCCTGTGGCTGGTCTGGGAGATGGGATGAGCGTGGATGGAGCGCCTACTGTATGCCTCACCCTGTGGCTGGTCTGGGAGATGGGATGAGCGTGGATGGAGCACCTACTGTATGCCTCACCCTGTGGCTGGTTTGGGAGACGGGATGAGCGTGGATGGAGCGCCTACTGTATGCCTCACGCTGTGGCTGCCACTTTCACTTTCTGCCTCATCCCAGCCTTGCCATGTGGCGCCCATTTCACAGATGATGAAACAGAAGCACGCAGAATTCAGTAACTTTTTTCAATGTCAAATAGCTAATGGGAGAAACAAGATATAAACCAGGTAAGTCTGAGTCAAAACATAACCACATCTTCCAAATGGGAAAGCATGCATTTATCTGTATGTACACTTTTAAGTTAATCTTTCAGTCAACACACATGTATTGGATTTCCTTACGTGCAGGACACTAGACAAGGTGCAAAGATGACTCGTGCAGTTCTGCCCTGTAAGAATCCACAGTTGAAGTAAGAAGCAAGAGAAATGGAACAGACGATGAGACAAAGCAGACAGCGGTGACAGCATCCCACCACACGGCTGCCCTGCTGGAGAATTCACGGGGAAGTCCAGGATGTGGCCGGCCCGTGTGCAGACCAGGAGCTCACTGACCGATCAACACATCAGGCAGGGGGTTGTCAACCGTGGCCTCGCCTGAGGGTCCCCCAGGGGCTAAGGACCCAGATACTCAGGACACAGGCCAGCCGGACCCCGCACATCAGTCGCTGGAGGGGGTGGATGTTTGAAGCTCCCCAGGTGGTTCTCTAAGTAGCCAGGCCTGCAGGGGGTGGTGGGGGTGAGCAGCGGGTGAGTTTGGGGTGATGCGGAGGGGCAGCAGGTGAAACCACTCCCTGGGGGGAGAAGGAGCAGTTGGTGAAACCACTCCCAGGCAAGCAGGAGGAGCAGTGGGTGAACCACTCCCTTCGGGGGGGAGCAGTGGGTGAAACCACTCCTGGGGGCGGGCGAAGAGGAGCAGCAAGTGAAACCACTCCCAGTGGAGGGGAGCAGTAGGTGAGCCATTCCCTGGAGTGGGGGGAGCAGCAGGTGAAACCACTCTCCGGGGGGGCGGACAGGAGCAGCAGGTGAGCCACTCCCTGAGGTTGGGGAAGCAGCAGGTGAAACCACTCCCCGGGGGGCAGAGAGGAGCAGCTGGTGAGCCACTCCCTGGGGGTCCACAGTGGTTCCAGGCAGAGGCTGCATTTGTCAGGCCTTGGAGGATGGTGCTGAGTGGGTAGAATTCCAGGAGGCTCTGGGGCAAACCCTAACCTTAACCCTAATCCTGGCCCTGGCAACACCTCATCGCAGCTCCTCTTCCTCCTGCGGCCCACAGTAGATTCTCCAGCATGAGTACCAGGAAGACGCCCTGTCCCAGAACCCGTCCAGTACCCACCCCAAGCTCCAGGAGGGGCAGGCCCAGGCCCCAGACACCAGGGCACAGCGCCTCTCCTCCCACCCTCCCAAGGCTGGTCTTAGGGCACAGTGCCTCTCCTCCCACCCCCACCCCTGTCTGCCTGCCAACCTCGTGGGCCTCCCTCACACACACAGGCGCCCCCACACATATGCACACGCTCACACACGCACTACTGAGAGTGCACATGCTCACACACACAAGGCCTGCACACACACGCCACCAAGCACACACGCTCACACAGGGACTGGCCTGGGTCCAGGCTGTGCAGTGTCGTGGTGGCCGGAGTGGGTGGGGCTGAGACATCGGCCATTGGTCCACACTTGCCACAGTGTCCACTGTGGGGCTCAGGCAGCCTTTCACGGCCAGCATGCCTCTGATCTTCCGGCCACAGTGAGGGTGGGCGTGCTGTGTGGTCCGGTGCTTGCGCCCCCAAGTCTGCAGCGAGGCCTGGCTGGGGAGCCGCTGAGATCACCTGCTCCAGCTCTGCCACCCTCTCTCCGTCCCGTCCTCCCCAGGGAAGCCCTTCCTAGTTTTCTGCGCAGGCCTGTGAATCCCCTTCTTCCTCTTTCCCTGCTTCTTTCTCCTTAGGGTTTAGACTTTGGAGAAACCAAAACAGAAAGACCTGCCTGGAGCTCCCACACGGACCCCTCCCTAGAGCCCCAGATTCTACTGGCCCCCACTGGAACAGGGGAGGAAGCAGAGGAAGAAGGTACATGCAGCCTCCAGAAAAATGATCAGGATGATTCCAGACTCACCCGATAGGGCCATCAGGGCAGGCGATTAGCCTTGATTCCACCTGGGGAGAGGGGCCTCCCCAACCACACAGCCCTGTTGGGGGAAGGAGCTGCTGGGACCTGCCAAGGGAATGGGCCTCCCCTGGAGCTCTAAGAGTCAAAAGCTGAGGCTTTTTTGCATAAAAGCAGGGCAGGAGGAATTGGGGGTGTGGTGGCCGAGGCACTACTGAGTTCAAAAGAAGCTCGTTGAGGGCAGGGACCTTCGCCCCAGTTCTCACAGGAGGCACTCCCTGAACAAAAGCTGCAGGAGGACCATACAGGCCAAACTGCCAAACTCAGACCAGCACCTGCTGGGCCGAGGCCACGGGGACGCCTGGTCTTCTCCTACCCATACCCACCACGGCCGCTGGGCAGAGGACATGGGGGACCCACGGGGGCCTGACTGCTGGGAATACCCATTGGCTTGAGCAGATGTGAGTCAACAAGACTCAGACAATGACGTGGGCTCTAAGAAGGTGGCAGTTACGTGAACTGTGAAGCTCAGTTCCTCCCGTTTGTTCAGAGCCTCCTCATCCTGGCCCCAGCTCAGGTGGGAGTCGTTGCTGAGGCACCCGTGTGTGCACGTGGCCTGGCTCTCAGCTCTCAGGGATCAGTAGTGCTGGCAGCAAAACATGACCCTTCCTGTAACAAAATGCCCATGAAATGGAGCAGGGGATGAATAACGTAAGCCGAGCCATGAGGGAGCGGGAGGGGCCGCCCCGCCTGTCTGTACAGGGTGTGGGGTGAGGGCAGGAAGGGGACAGGAGGTGCCCCCAGAGACATGAATTTTTAAAAATTAAACACACTCCTTGCACTTTGCTAGAAGGCCTCTGTCACCATGTGACCGGGGACCTCTTCAGGGCTCCCAGCAGGAAAGGCAGAATTACACCCCCCGGGAAGCCTGAAGCCCACCCTCTCGCAGCCCTGAGCCGGGCAACGGCGGCTCACCAGCACCTCCTGTTCTAGGCGGCATTTTTCTAAAGTGCAGAGTGCAGCAGCCTCTGCATCACCCCACTGCAGGGAGAGAGCCACGCCCTTTGCAGTTGTGAAACCAGACCCGCTGGACAGTTCGCCTCCAAGCACACAGTGCATATCGGATACTGACAGGCCAGGGTGGCAGTGGGGCTCCTGGGACCCACGTGACAGGACAAGAGCTGAGGCTCAGCCAGTCGCCCCCACAAGGCCAGCCGAAGAATGCCAGGGACCGAGAGCTGAGGCTCAGTGAGCCATCCCACCCATGCCAGCGGGAGAATGCCAGGTACATCGCTCTCCATGCTGTCGTCCTCAAACCCCAGCACAATGCCTCACCCTTGGTAACATTCAGCCTTCAGCTCATTTGTCTTGCAAATAAAAAGGTTGAACTTGGAAGAACATTTCACTACTGTAATTGGGGGATTGGGGCTTGGTTTTTTAAAAATCAAATCAAGGCTTCTTATATCCATTTTAAATTGCCTAGATAGAAACTGAGAACCAATCTCATATTTATTTGTAATTTCATGTTATCAGATTGAGGTTTTCTTTCAAAACTGCTCTTCCATTGACTGGCATAATGCCTGTAATCTGTACATTTTATTTGCAATTGAGGCCCATTTACGTGTCTAAACACTCACAGAGGGGACAGACCCCCATTGTAAAACAAAACACAACGGGCCCCAGCCAGAGACTGCCAGCTTTTCGAGGACTCGCTGTGGTGGAGCTCACATTGAGGTAATTCCATACTCAGCAAACCCACAGACCGCAGACAGGAAAAAAGAAAGAACCGCCACTCTGACAATATCATAAATAGTTGAGTAAAGGAATAAAATAAGAAGTGCTGAGCCTGCAGCCCTTGCTGGAGTTATCAGAACCGGCCCCAAATTTCCTGCAAGGCTGTCTCTGGCACGGCCCTCCCCAGAGGCCAGCTGGCCCCATAGGCACATCCACGCTAAGCTCCACAGCCTCTCACGCATCCACGCTGAGCTCCACAGCATCTCAGGCATCCACGCTGAGCTCCACGGCCTCTCACGCATCCACGCTGAGCTCCACGGCCTCTCACGCATCCACGCTGAGCTCCACGGCCTCTTCTGCATCCACGCTGAGCTCCACGGCCTCTCACGCATCCACGCTGAGCTCCACGGCCTCTCACGCATCCACGCTGAGCTCCACGGCCTCTTCTGCATCCACGCTGAGCTCCACGGCCTCTCATGCATCCACGCTGAGCTCCACGGCCTCTCATGCATCCATGCTGAGCTCCACGCCCTCTTCTGCATCCACGCTGAGCTCCACGGCCTCTCATGCATCCATGCTGAGCTCCACGGTCTCTCCTGGGAAGCCCTGGCTTCCTTCTCTCTGCCAGCCCTCATGGGAGTGCCTAGCACCACCGCAGCGCAGAGGGGACGGGAGAGATGCCTGCAGCTCCAGCCGTTTCTCCTCCAGGGGAGGAGGCCAGAGGCAGAGGGAAAGCAGGCAGCTCCCGCAGGACAGCCCTGAGCCAGTGTGAATGTGGGTGAAGCTCCCGGTGCTCACTGCAACAAGGAGGACGCGTGAGCAAGTGCAGACGCTGGGGACTCAGCCCTGACCGACAATGTTGACGTCTGCCAGCTACATGGAGATGAAAATGAAGGCATGTCGCATGCATGTATGTGTGTAGAGGTGTGTGTGTGTGCGCATGTGTGCACCTGTGTGTAATTCTGAAGGAAAGTATGTGACTTGGAAATCATATCACAATCCAGGGACTCACTCTTCCTTATTAACTTTTATTTTTACCCTTTTTTTATTTGAATAAAAATTGCAGTTTTTGTTTTTTACAAAAGGAAAGGTCACACGGCATTGTTCCTCAGCCTGCTGGCGGCCTGTGGCTCCCCCGGCTGCAGTGTCACTAAGGCAGTGTGGTGGGCTGGCCCTGAGCTGCAGGTGCACACGCTTGCCCGGGAGGTTGACAGTGGGACGTTTCTTGCCATGTTTTTGGCCCCAGCATGAGCCGATCGCATCAGCCACCTCCGCAGATGAGACAAAGCCACCTTGCAGGGATTCCCATGGGCTTCTGAGGGGGCCGTGGCCTACATTGAGGATAAGAGGATTGAAGCTGAGAGCTTCTCTGCAGAGGGTGCACCTATGCCTGCCTCACTGCAGCCAGATGCCCAGATGCCTGGGCCTCTTGATGTGCAGTCCCATCCTTTGCTGACCCCAAGGGAGATTACAAACCCAGACTGGCCAGACGGCTGCCTGGGCAGCAGAGCGGGGTGTTGCTGGTCCAGGCAGCACCGAGAGAGAGCCCAGGGAGGGCAGCAGGGGGTCGTCCCCGCTGAGGAGAGAGTATTTGCCCAGATTCAGGGGCCTGAAACCCCAAGACTGCCCACAACAGAGGGCCCAGATGAAGAGTCCATAGAGACATCTGCCCGGAGGGCACTGAGCCACGTGCAGCAGCACCAGGCAGGCAAGAATAGCCCTGGATGCCTTCCTTCATCCCAGCTCAGCCCTGAAGAGCCAGAGGCCGAGGCTGGCCACAGGAAGCAGGGCCACTCTGCAGGCAGGTGGGCATGAGACACATGCACCGCCACCGTCAGACACTGCAGCCCCGCGGGAACGGAGGCACCAAAGCTCATCGCATGTGGAGCTGTGACCATTATGGGGCCACGCACACTGAGCCCCTGAGAGGAGGCTGGTGCTGCCTGGGTGGGGAGCAAACAGGCGGGGGCAGGCAGTGTCAGAGCTCCAGAACTGGGCAGGGCCCGCCGGGGTGTCTCCGTAGGATCATTGACTCAGCATTCGTGATGTATTTTCTCCATGGGACACAAAGATTTAGAAGTTTTTAAAAATAAAGTGACAAGAGGCCAGGCACCGTGTCTCACGCCTGTAATCCCAGCACTTTGGGAGGCCGAGGCCGGCAAATCACCAGCTCAGGAGATCGAGACCATACTGGCTAACACGGTGAAACCCCGTCTCTACTGAAAAATACAAAAAATTAGCCAGGCATGGCAGCGGGCGTCTGTAGTCCCAGCTACTTGGGAGGCTATGGCAGGAGAATGGCGTGAACCCGGGAGGCGGAGCTTGCAGTGAGCCGAGATGGCGCCACTGCACTCTAGCCTGGACGACAGAGTAAGACTCCGTCTCAAAAAAAAATAAATAAAAAATAAAGTGACAATAGGGCTTTCGAATGCCTTGTATGAATGCATGGGGTGAGCATGAGTTTCATCGAGGGGTGAAAACACCACTCAACTGACCCAAGAGATGGCAGAAGCCAAAAACGAAGCTGCTTTTGTGGTTTTATCCCAACAGGTTGCCTGTGCAGTGGAACCACTGCTGATCTTACAGGTAAATATATAATCTGCAACAGGCTTGCCAGAGTTAACCAAAAGAAAACTGCGGAACATCCCATTAAATCTGAATTTCAGAAAAATGATGAATCATTTTTTAGGTCAAGTATGTCCCAAACACTGCATGGGATAGACTTACACTAAAAAATGATTCCTTATTTATCTGAAATTGAAATTCATTGGGATGTCCTGTATCGTGTCTGGCAACCCAGCCCTAAAACAGGCAGAGGGTCTTGCTGGTGGGCCTGGGGGGGCCACGGGGCTCTTTGGCACCGGGAGCCAGGCTTCCCTCCACTGCTGCGACCACTCATAGCCCCTCCAAGCCCCCTGATCCCAGTAAAGCCAGGATGAGATTGCTTACCTGTCCAGGGCCATAGGAATGCAAGGCAGGTTAAAATGGGTTTAAAAAATCAGAAATGGAGTCTTTCATGTTCCAGAGTGTATGAAGTGAGACTGATAGCCATTACCTAATCGATGTGTAACATTCTAGAAAACAAAACAGGAGGCCGAGGCGGGCGGATCATCTGACGTCAGGAGTTCAAGACCAGCCTGGCCAACATGGTGAAACCCCATCTCTTACTAAAAATACAAAAACCCAGCACTTTGGGAGGCTGAGGCGGGTGGATCACGAGGTCAGGAGATCAAGACCATCCTGGCTAACATGGTGAAACCCCATCTCTACTAAAAGTACAAAAAATTAGCCAGGCATGGTGGCAGGCACCTGCAGTCCCAGCTACTCGGGAGGCTGAGGCAGGAGAATTGCTTGAACCTGAGCTTCTCGGGAGGCAGAGGTTACAGTGAGCTGATATTGTGCCACTGCACTCCAGCCTGGGTGACAGAGAGAGATCTGTCTCAAAAAGAAAAGAAAAGAAAAGAAACAGAAAGGGAGGGAGGGAGGGAAAGAAGGAAGGAAGGAAGGAAAGAAAGAAAGAAAGAAAAGAAGGAAGGAAAGGAAAGGAAAAAAAGAAAAAGAGAAAGAAAGAGAAGGAAAGAAGGAAAGAAGAGAAGAGAAAAGAAAGAAAGAGAAGGAAGGGAGGGAAGGAGGAAGGAAGGAAGGAAGGAGAAAGAGTGGGCACGGAAATCTGTCCTGCAGGCCGCTTCCCACGGGCCTCCTCCTGTGCCTGCCTGCGCCTGCTCAGGTGCACCTGGATGGGTAGTTTTATGTCAAAAAGCACTGGACGCCCCACAGCTCCTCCTGAACATCCCAGGTCTCAGAAGTGTCAGACGCTCAGAGCCAGGACAGGAGGAGGCCGGGAGGTTTATTTTGCAGTCCAGGTTTGCTTCCCAAGAACAGTCTGCAGGTGCATGAGGCAACTTGACAGGACATATGAAAGTCTCCACAAAACCAGACGATGTGGAGTTCTGTTGAGATCTGTGGGAAGACGTGCTCCTCACCCAGGGTGTGGCCGACGTGGGATCTATGGGAAGACATGCTCCTCACCCAGGGTGTGGCCGACGTGGGATCTATGGGAAGACGTGCTCCTCACCCAGGGTGTGGCCGACTTGGGATCTATGGGAAGACGTGCTCCTCACCCAGGGTGTGGCTGACGTGGGACCTATGGGAAGACGTGCTCCTCACCCAGGGTGTGGCCGACTTAGGATCTGTGGGAAGACGTGCTCCTCACCCAGGGTGTGGCCGACTTGGGATCTATGGGAAGACGTGCTCCTCACCCAGGGTGTGGCCGATGTGGGATCTATGGGAAGACATGCTCCTCACCCGGGGTGTGGCCGATGTGGGATCTATGGGAAGACGTGCTCCTCACCCAGGGTGTGGCCGACGTGGGATCTATGGGAAGACGTGCTCCTCACCCAGGGTGTGGCCGATGTGGGATCTATGGGAAGACGTGCTCCTCACCCAGGGTGTGGCCGACGTGGGATCTATGGGAAGACGTGCTCCTCACCCGGGGTGTGGCCGATGTGGGATCTATGGGAAGACATGCTCCTCACCCGGGGTGTGGCCGATGTGGGATCTATGGGAAGACGTGCTCCTCACCCGGGGTGTGGCCGACGTGGGATCTATGGGAAGACGTGCTCCTCACCCAGGGTGTGGCCGACTTGGGATCTATGGGAAGACGTGCTCCTCACCCAGGGTGTGGCTGATGTGGGACCTATGGGAAGACGTGCTCCTCACCCAGGGTGTGGCCGACTTAGGATCTGTGGGAAGACGTGCTCCTCACCCAGGGGCGTGGCCTATCTTCCCTCCAGAAGCTCTAAAACCACATAGGAGGGAGTTGGGTCCCCATTTTGGCTGCAGCCAGCAAATCTCCAAAATTGTGGATTGCCAGGGTCCTCTTCTCCCCAACAGGAAGAGGACGACCTGGCAGCCTGAGGACTGTGAGGGCATAGGCCCTGCCCACTGCAGCACTGACTCTCAGGCAGCTGTCTCTGCCATTTCTGGGAGAGAGGCCGAGACCCACCAGTCCAGGCTACGGAGGATCCATCTCTTCCACTCCCTGCAGGACGTGACACCCCCAAGTGGGACCTTCCCAAGCCACCCTGTCTCCATCAGTCACATCATCAGCCACTTGCCGCGGCCCCTCTCACCAAATTAGAGTAGACAGGGCTTCTTTCTACCACCAGCTCTGCCCCAAGGCTCACGGGGACGTCCTACCATCTTCTCTCCCCGTGACCACATGTGGCAGGGTCAGGCTTCTTCTCCCACTGGTACAACAGTGGCCGGGGCTCAAAGGAAGTTCTTTCCTAAAAGGAGCTCAGAGGCCCTCTCTGGAAAGGAGTCCTCAGGCCACCCATCACCACTGCTTCCCTGCGGCTTGGATGCACTCCCTCTGAGCCGGCTGCTGAGGCCATGGAACCCAGGCCAGCACCGCCGGCCCTCAAGAGGGAGTGTGTCCTGGAGGCAGTTGCAACAGAACTAACTTCCTGCAGTTAAAACACACAAAGCATTTGGGGAACCTTCAGTGTTCAAAGTGCAGTTGGAAATGCCAGGTGCATTGTGGGTGGGGCCGAGCTGTATGAGAAGGTGGGCTGTGAGTGTCTTCCCGGGCTATGGCTTTAGGACTCCAGTGCTGCTGCTACTGGGAACACAGAGAGGGGTTGCAGCAAGGAGCTCTGTCCCTATGCACAAGGCCCGTGGCCTGAAGTGTCCCCTGGGAGATGAGACGGACCAGCCCCAGTGGGGAGGAGGGTCAGAGAGCAAACGGTCCTGGCTTTGCCCGCCAAGAGCAGCTGAGGTGCTTCCGGGACTCAGGGTCAAGACAGAAAACATTTTCAGCTCCCCAGCTCAGGGGTGGGAACTTTGCACCAGCTGCCGTCAGCTGGACACCCTGAGATAAGGAGACCCCAAGATGCACTGAGACCCCCAGACTCCACACCCGCTCCCCTCCTCCCAACAGCCCAACAGAGCCTGCGCCTGGCAGATGTGGACCACGGCACCCCGGAGTGCAGGGGACCATGGTGCCCCAGTGTGCAGAGGACCACGGCGCCGCAGGGTGCAGGGGACCATGTGGCGTGCAGGCCACCAGCACAGGGCCCGGGCACCCTGGAAGGCAGGAGCCTGCACAGAGGGACCTGGGGGGGGCGAGGTCCAGCCCTCCCCAGTGGGGCCAGGGGCTGCGGCCAGGGTTCACTGACCCCTGACCTGGCCACCGTGCACCTCCCGCTGAGGAGCGTGGCTCTGGGAAGCCAATGGCTAAGGTCTTGGGAGGCCAAAACCGAGTCTCTGCCCCTGACCACACGGTTGGTCAATCACCAATGCAGGAGGCTCCCTAAGAGTTTGTAGATTTTTGGCTTACTCCCTCTGGAGAGCATCTTATGTCTTCTCAGTGAGATGGAGCAAAAGACGTGAAATATGCAGTCGGGGGCTCACGGCACCAGCATGTGCGTCTGGCGGCTCAGGCCGATGTGGGCTTTCTCCTCCTTGGGCCGCAAGGAGATGGCGTGATGGGGACCTGGGTGGAGGGAACCACGTGTCCCCTTGCTAGCAGACCCCAGGCTGGCACCACGGAGGCAGGCGGCCCCCATCGAGCCGTATGGGTCCTTTTCCTCCACGTGGACTCTGGGGCGTCACCTAGGAAACCAGACACATCCCTGACTTGGACGAGGAGCTGGAGCCCCCGGAGATGCCCTTCATGTCGTCCGGCATCTGACCGTCCGAGCGCCACACGTTCAGCTCGCCAAAGATGCCCGTCTCGATCATCTCCTCCTGCCAGGGGATGGGGCAGTTGCCAGTGGCAAATTCCTGAAAGAATTCTGTGTCTGTTTTGTCAAAGGCCACACCTTTGACGGTGGAAAAGGCACCCACGTCCTGAATATCCTTTGCGTAGACAGTTTTGGAGTCTGGGATGAAAGGGGGCATCAGCATCCCTGTGGGAGACAGAAAACACAGACGCCAGGCTCCTCGTGGTGGCAAGGAAGCGCCGTTTAGCCAAAAAGCCCCCTCCCCCATGGCTCCCAGATGCACAAAGGCCTGGGGCCGCTCTTCCTTAGGGAAGTGTCGTGGAGGCTGAGAGAGAAAGCCCAGTGTTCCCAGAAGGCCCCTGGGTTCCCCTGAGACCACACAGCTGGGGCTTGAGTGGGGCCGGAAGAAGCCTGAGATCCCAGGGCTCATTTTGGAGCCTTCTTGTGAAAGGACCTGGCGCTCACATCTGCCTTGTTGGGAGCCTCCCCTAGGGTCTCGTCATGAAGCGGTCTCCTCCCCGAACACGCCTTCCCCTGGGGCCCCATCCCCACCAGGGCCTCCCCTGCGCACTCTGCAGACCCCAGACCCCAGGCACTCAAGCACACGCTCCGGTGAACTTGGCAGCTTCCTTCCAACCAGCGTCCCTCCCTGACGCACCGGCCCCCGATGGCCAGGCACAGCCGGTCACAGACATCACTCTCCTCTCGGTGCACCGACCCTGACCCGGCTGGCCCATGCTGGCCCCCAGACGGCCTCTGTGACGGCCTCAGGACCACCTCCCAGTGCCAGCAGACACTGCACAGCCGCCGTGTGGTTCCTCCTCAGCCTCACTTTGACCTCAACACTTCTGGGCTCAAACCCTTCTGTGGCTCAGACTTCCTTACAGGGCGGGCGGGGTCCCCTCCTCATCCTGTGACCCCTTGGAGCCCCCTTGGGTTCCCTGACCACAGCCATCCTTGCCTCGCTGGGCCTGCCCAGGGCACCTGTCTGGCAGTCACTGCTGTGACCCTAACATACGAAAGCGACTTCTCGTTTGGGGGGTCTTCTGCTCCCTGGTCACCTGTGGCCCTGTCCTAAGTTAGTCACACTGCACGTGGCCTGACCCTTCCACCTGACCACAGGGTCCTAGAGGGTATGGCTGTGTCTCAGATGCAAAAGTGCATGAACACACACACATACACGCACACACATGCACACACACGTATGCACACACACATACGCACGCACACACATGCGCGCACACGCACACACGTATGCACACACATGCGCACACACGCACACACACGTATGCACACACACGCACACACGTATGCACACATGCACACACGCACACTGTATGCACACACACATACACACACGCACACACGCACACACGTATGCACACACGCACACACGTATGCACACATACACATGCGCACGCACGTGCACACACACGCACGCACAGATACACATACACACATGCACACACGTATGCACACACATACACACGCACACACATGTATGCACACATACACACGCGCGCGCACACACGTGCGCACACACGCACACACGTATGCACACATACATGCACACACACGTGCACACACACGTATGCACACATACATGAGCACACACGTATGCACACACATACACATGCGCACACGTGCACACACACGTATGCACACACATACACATACATGCACACACGTGCGCGCACACGCATGCACACACGCGCACACATGCACACATACACACACACGTGCACACACATACACACACGCGCGCACATAGTATCTTCCGCATCCACTTGTCAAGCAAGTGCTGGTGGGTGGATGACTTTCTCCCCGGCAGACGGCCTGAGCCACTGGCCTCCATTTGATCTTGGGCTCCCTCCAGCACCAGGGGACGTGGTGGAAGGTTTGGGTCTCGAGGCCCCAGTGCGGCCAGTGTGTTTCCTGCCTCCCATTGCACCCAGAGCCCTCTGGCCCGATGCCGGCTCCATCGGCTTGTCCTGGGGCTGGGATGATGAGTGGAGGACTGGGGGCCTTGCTGGGGGCAGAGGGAGAGCCTTGGGGGTCTGAGGCACTCCTCCCTGCCGACTCTCACAGGCTGGACCGGGCGGACACCCAAGGGCCACACAGCACAGAACCCCACCCTCTCCGGGGCTGAGGCGTCCAACAGTACCAGCCTCCAGCTGCCTCCAGTTAAGGTCCTTGAAGAGGGGGTGGGCACGGAGCTTGTCGCAGGTCTCATCTCTGAACCCCAGGCGCTTCTCCGGGTCCTTCTCCAGCAGCGCCTCGCAGAAGTCCTTGCTGGCCTGGCTGAACTTATCAGGGTACTTCACGGGCTCTGAGATGATCCGGTGCTTCAGCTCCTTGTTCTCCACCTGTGGGGACACGCGTAGCCTTAGCCCTGCCAGACCCGCCTCTCTTGGGTGGTCAGACCAGACCACAGCTCCTCCCACAAGAGCCACCGCTCACCCACGCGGGTGGGGGACCCATGAGGCCTTGTGCCCCTCCCCAGCACAGCAGCGTTTGAGGCTCCAGTCTCAGGAATGGAATCCTAAAGGCGAAGCTCCCAGGAGCCACAGGTGGGTGCCGTGCATTTTGGGGACTCTGGCTGACCCACCCCCAGCACAGCCGCACCCACCAAGGAAGGAAAGATAGGAAACTGAAGGCCAGCGCGGGCCCAGCTGAGAAGCAGCCTCCGTTTTCACTCCGCCACGGTGGACGGAAGCCTCGGTGGCTCTGTTGTCTTCAGGAGTGCTGCCAAGGTCTCACTTCCCCATCAGAGGCCCCACCAGTGGGTACAGTGTGAAGGGTGCTGCTCAGTCCCCAAGGCCCCCGGATCAGGCCATTGACGCTACTCCCACGGGTTGCCCTGGCAGCCCACGCCTGTGCCACGTCCCACAGACACAGAGTGACCACGGGCGTGCTAGTGGTCCTGGGACGACTCTGCTCTGAAACCTGTCCTGGCAGGACAGGTCACATGTCCAGGGAAGTCAGAAGGGAGAGGGGTGGGCATCGCCCAGGTGGCATTGAGGGGGCGATGGGTGGCCAGGGAAGAGCCGCACCTCAAGGCAGCCTGATGCAACTCTGAGACGGTGGCCTTCTGGCTCCGTGCGGCCACCCCCTCCGTCCAACGAGAGGCAGCCCCAGCCCTGAGCTCTGAGTCAGCCTCACAGGGAAAAAGCCAGCTTTTCTCCACTTGTCTTGAATAAGGGACTGGCACCTCCCAATGTTATCCCTATTTGCAGTTCTGGTGGCCTAGGATCCGGGCCAGCCCAGGGGGCACTCAGGGGAGACCCAGCAGCCCCACTAGGTGTCCACACTCCGGGACATTCAGAGCAGCTGCTGGGCCCACCATGGGCTGTGGGTTCTTGGTGTCTGGGAAGAAGGGGAGCTTGCTCTTCTGCAACAGCGATGGATAAGACCGTCCAGGGAGGGGGAGCCGACTCCGTGTCCCCCAGAGCCCCAGCCTCAGCCTCGCCAGTCCCCAGGGGATGAAGCTCCACCCCAAACCACAAAAGGTGGTTTGTCCCACTGCCCAGGGTCTGGGGCAACAGTGGGATAAGTCGCCCTCCCTCCTCCGGTCTGCACCAGAGGGACCGGCCCCCACAGGGCCCTCAGAGGCTGAGTGGTGGCGTGCTGTCTGGTGGGAGGGTCTGCTTGCTCTGGGGCACAGGGTGACTGGGAATCCCTCAGCCCCTCCACCTGCAGGCCTCAGGGGCTGGGGGCGTCACCCACTGAGACAGAACAGCATGGCCCAGGAGCAAGACCCCAGCACGTGAATCTGTGCCCTCCCCACCCCAGGGCCCACAGAACAACTCCCAGGTCTGCCCCAGTAACGATCCCATCACTGCCCCGTCCCCATCGAGAGCCAGGGCGCCAAGGTGGCTGCAGAGACACCTGCCGGCCGCCTCCTACCTTCTCTCCACGGGCTCGGAAGGGTCCTCTGGCCGCAATCATCTCATACAGGGTGACCCCCAGGGCAAAGTAGTCCACGGAGAAGTCGTACTCCTCGCCCTGCAGGAGCTCGGGGGCCATGAAACCTGCCAGCAAGGGACATTGCGGGTTCAGAGGTGGTCACCTCCATGGTGGGCACGCACTCCAGGAATCGCAGGACTGATGCTCTGGGGATGCATCCCCCCCGGGGCCTCAGCACTCTCCACATTTGGGGCCAGAAAATCCTTTGTGGAGGGGCTGCCCTGTGTGTTACTGGGTGCCAAGCAGCACCCCAGACTCTGCCTGTGGGGTGACAGCAGCACCCCCAGGCTGTGACAACCAAAAATGACAACCAAAAATGCCCCATGCCCACTCTAGTGCTGGGCACAGGGCGGGACTTGTTGACTGTAGCTGCACTGAGGCAGCCTTCCTGGACTCTTTTACTGGGGAGAATCCAACATCATTCTCTTTTGAATTTTCCTCTCGAGCTGGTCAGATCATGCCAAGGCGGGTCTTCCACATTCTGGGAACCACGTTGGAGAGGAGGCCTGGGGAGCCTCAACCAACGGTCACTCTCCTTTTCCTCAGCTGTTGGCCTGTTCTCCAGTTGTCCGGTGACCCAGGAGTGCTATGGCTGTGTCCTCTCCAGAGAGGTGGTCCGGTCCCAGTCTTCTGCCAAGAAGGCCCTTAACCACAGGACTGTGGCAGGATGGAGGGACGGCTCTGGGCGCAGCCACGGGGACTCAGGATGGAGGGAGGGCTCTGGGCGCAGCCGCAGAGGCTGTCACGGGATGGGGGGATGGCTCTGGGCTCAGCCCCGGGGACTGTCTCGGGATGGAGGGACGGCTCTGGGTGCAGCCGCGGAGACTGCCTCAGGATGGGATGATGGGTCTGGTCTCAGCTGCAGAGACTGTGTCAGGATAGAGGGGCAGGTCTGGGCTCAGCCTCGGGGACTGTCTCGGGATGGAGGGGCGGGTCTGGGCTCAGCTGCGGGGACTGGGGGACTGTCGGGATGGAGGGACGGGTCTGGGTGCAGCCGCAGGGACTGGGGGACTGTGTCGGGATGGAGGGGCGGGTCTGGGCTCAGCCACGGGGACTGGGGGACTGTGTCGGGATGGAGGGACGGGTCTGGGTGCAGCCGCGGGGACTGGGGGACTGTGTCGGGATGGAGGGACGGGTCTGGGTGCAGCCGCGGGGACTGGGGGACTGTGTCGGGATGGAGGGACGGGTCTGGGTGCAGCCGCGGGGACTGGGGGACTGTGTCGGGATGGAGGGGCGGGTCTGGGCTCAGCCACGGGGACTGGGGGACTGTGTCGGGATGGAGGGACGGGTCTGGGTGCAGCCACGGGGACTGTGTCAGGATGAAGGGACGGGTCTGGGCTCAGCCGTGGGGACTGTCTCCAGATGGAGGGGCGGGTTTGGGCGCAGCCGCGGGGACTGTCTTGGGATGGAGGGATGGGTCTGGGTGCAGCCGCGGGGACTGTCTCCGGATGGAGGGACGGGTCTGGGCGCATCCACGGGGACTGGCTCGGGATGGAAGGACGGGTCTGGGCTCAGCCGCGGCAACTGTCTCGGGATGGAGGGGTGGGTCTGGGCACAGCCGCAGGGACTGTCTCAGATGGAGGGACGGGTCTGGACACAGCTGTGGGGACCGTCACAGGACAGAGGGCGGAGGGACAGCTCTGTGTGCAGCTGCTCTCATGCAGTCATTCATCTGCCAAGGTCACCTTTGCACGGACACCAGGCACTGGGCACTGACAGTTCTGTGCAGCTTCAGGGCTCTGGCAGCAGCTTAGCATTCTGCTTCCTTGTGTCAGCTACCGGCTCCCCTCACCCATCATCAGTCTTCCAGCTGCCATGACGCTGCCGCTCACACCCTCCTTTGAGCACGTGGGTTTGTACTTTTAGCGAGATCCCTTCACTGCCCCTGTCCCGGGACTTCAGGAGGGAAAGCAGATCACATGTGTGTCCAGCCATCAGCTCTGTCCACGAGAGTATCTGAGTGGCTGCTTCCCAACACTTTACTAAATTCAAAACACACTTTCCACTCCACGCTCTGTGTTCTGGCTCCGCCAGCGGATCAGGGAGCGATGGAGCCTGGAGCCTCGCTCGCACATCTGTTGGTGTCTTGCTAACGTCAAGGCAGATCTCTAGGCTCAGTGCTTTCACACTCACAAACACCCCTACTCTAGGTTCGTGCCTGGAAGCCACACCAGGCTCACATATGTCTAGTTTGCTGAAGCTGAGTTCTCTGCCTCGTCCCACAGTCTCAGCTCGAGTCCTCAGCACCCTAAAAGGCGCCTCCCTTCACCGCGGCCTGACTCTGAGGCAGCCAAGCACCTCTCGAGCCCTTCCCAACTGCTCCTCACAGAGAAGACGGAATCCAGTGTGGGCTGCAGCCTCCGGGCACCCCCACGCTGCTCAGGCTGGCATGGGGTCCTCTCCTCTCCTCCCACCTCTGGCTAAGGCTTGCCCACCTGCCGGGCCTTGTCCACCTTTTGTGGTTCCCTGCAGACCCCACCAGCCGGGCTGTGCCCTCCCCGGCCCTTCCGCCCTCTCCAGGGCATCCCTCCTTCTTCATAGGGATGAGGTTCGAGGCCACAGCCACACACTGAGGCTTCCCTCTCCTTGTGAGCAAGCTTCCCCTCCAGGGTGGAAACCGCAGATCCCACCTGTCTCGGCTCAGGCACTTCCGTGGTCCAGCCCTGTGCCTGTTCCACGGAGCCGGGGCGTCTCTGAGTGATGGCCACAGACCCTCCGGGCCCCGCTGCAATGCTGCCATGGTGATGAGCACAGCACTTGCTCCAGCCTGCCCTGAGTGCCAGGCACAGCAGTCCACTATACGCCATGAGCTGGCCATGGGTACTCATCACCATGGGTACTCCTCATCGCCATGGGTACTCCTCATCACCATGGGTACTCCTCGCCATGGGTACTCCTCATCGCCATGGGTACTCCTCATCACCATGGGTACTCCTCATTGCCATGGGTACTCCTCGCCATGGGTACTCCTCATCGCCATGGGTACTCCTCATCACCATGGGTACTCCTTGCCATGGGTATTCCTCATCGCCATGGGTACTCCTCATCGCCATGGGTACTCCTCATCGCCATGGGTCCTCATCGCCATGGGTACTCCTCATCGCCATGGGTACTCCTCATTGCCATGGGTACTCCTCGCCATGGGTACTCCTCATCGCCATGGGTACTCCTCATCGCCATGGGTACTCCTCGCCATGGGTATTCCTCATCGCCATGGGTACTCCTCATCGCCATGGGTACTCCTCATTGCCATGGGTACTCCTCATTGCCATGGGTCCTCATCGCCATGGGTACTCCTCATCGCCATGGGTACTCCTCATCGCCATGGGTACTCATCGCCATGGGTACTCCTCATCGCCATGGGTACTCCTCATCGCCATGGGTCCTCATCGCCATGGGTACTCCTCATCGCCATGGGTACTCCTCATCGCCATGGGTACTCCTCGCCATGGGTACTCCTCATCGCCATGGGTACTCCTCATCACCATGGGTACTCCTCATCGCCATGGGTACTCCTCGCCATGGGTACTCCTCATCGCCATGGGTACTCCTCATCACCATGGGTACTCCTCGCCATGGGTATTCCTCATCGCCATGGGTACTCCTCATCGCCATGGGTACTCCTCATTGCCATGGGTCCTCATCGCCATGGGTACTCCTCATCGCCATGGGTACTCCTCATCGCCATGGGTACTCATCGCCATGGGTACTCCTCATCGCCATGGGTACTCCTCATCGCAATGGGTACTCCTCATAGCAATGGGTACTCATCGCCATGGGTACTCCTCATCGCCATGGGTACTCCTCATTGCCATGGGTACTCCTCATCGCAATGGGTACTCATCGCCATGGGTACTCCTCATCGCCATGGGTACTCCTCATCGCCATGGGTACTCCTTGCCATGGGTATTCCTCATCGCCATGGGTACTCCTCATCGCCATGGGTACTCCTCATTGCCATGGGTCCTCATCGCCATGGGTACTCCTCATCACCATGGGTACTCCTCGCCATGGGTACTCCTCATCGCCATGGGTACTCCTCATCGCCATGGGTACTCCTCGCCATGGGTATTCCTCATCGCCATGGGTACTCCTCATCGCCATGGGTACTCCTCATTGCCATGGGTACTCCTCATTGCCATGGGTCCTCATCGCCATGGGTACTCCTCATCGCCATGGGTACTCCTCGCCATGGGTACTCCTCATCGCCATGGGTACTCCTCATTGCCATGGGTACTCCTCATTGCCATGGGTCCTCATCGCCATGGGTACTCCTCATCGCCATGGGTACTCCTCATCGCCATGGGTACTCATCGCCATGGGTACTCCTCATCGCCATGGGTACTCCTCATCGCCATGGGTCCTCATCGCCATGGGTACTCCTCATCGCCATGGGTA
>NT_187597.1:0-103832 GCF_000001405.40 Homo sapiens | reverse complement strand
GCCCATCCCACTACTCTGCCTGTGGAGTAACCATTCTTTTGTTCCTTTACTTTCTCAATAAACTTGCTTTCACTTTACTCTGTGGACTTGTCCTGAATTCTTTCTTGTGTGAGATCCAAGAACCTTTTCTTAGAGTCTGGATCAGCCCCTGATATGGTTTAGCTTTGTGTCCCTACTTAAATCTCATCTTGAATTTTAATCCCAGGTGTTTAGAGAGGGACCTGGTGGGAGGTGATTGAATCATGGGGGTGGTTTACTTCATGCGGTTCTTGTGATAGTGAGTGAGTTATCACAAGATCTGATGGTTTTCTTTTTCCTTGCTTTTTGTTTTTTATTTTACTTTTAAGTTCTGGAGTACATGTGCAGAATGTGCAGGTTTGTTACATAGGTATACATGTGCTGTGGTTGTTTGCTGCACCCATCAGTCCATCATCTAGGTTTTAAGCCCTGCATGCATTAGGTATTTATCCTAATGCTCTCTCTCCCCTTGCCCCCTACCCCCCTACAAGCTTCGGAATGTGATGTTCCCATCCCTGTGTCCACATGTTCTCATTGTTCAACTCCCACTTATGAGTAACAACATGTGGTGTTTGGTTTTCTGTTCCTGTGTTAGTTTGCTGAGAATTATCGTTTCTAACTTCATCCATGTCCCTGCAAAGGACATGAACTCATTTTTATGGCTGTATAGTATTCCATGGTGTATGTGTACCATATTTTCTTTATCCAGTTTATCATTGATGGGCATTGAGATACCATCTCATACCACTTAGAATGGCCATCATTAAAAAGTCAGGAAACAACAAATGCTAGTGAGGATGTGGAGAAATAGGAATACTTTTACACTGTTGGTGGGAGTGTAAATGAGTTCAACCATGTGGAAGACAGTGTGGTGATTCCTCAGGGATCTAGAACTAGAAATACCATTTGACCCAGCAATCCCTTTCCTGGGTATATCCCCAAAGGATTATAAATCATTCTACTCTAAAGATACATGCACAAGTATGTTTATTGCAGCACTATTTACAATAGCAAAGACTTGGATCTGATGGTTTTATAAGTGTTTGACAGTTCCTTCTTCACATGCTCTTTCTCACCTGCCGTCATCTAAGACGTGCCTGCCTCATCTTGCAAGGTGATTGTAAGTTTCTTGAGGCCTCCCTAGCCATGCTGAACTGTGAGTCAATTAAACTTCTTTTCTTTAGAAATTACCCACTCTCAGACATTTCTCTAGAGCAGTATGAAAACAGACTAATACAGAACCCTTTCCAGTAACACTTTGGTTTATACTGATTTGTACAGTAGTTCAAAGACATGTAATATAATTGTTCACTGATTAAATACCATTCAATGCCTTTACTTCTATTTTTCAAAACTCTGTTAATTCATTAAATAGTTATAATGGAGGCCTTAATACACTCATAATTATTTTAGGGTTTATTTTTATACATGGTAATAAAGTATGTGGCATGGTTTTTCTAAATGAGAGATAAAATTATTTGTTTATCCTTTTAATCCTTCATCCTGAGTTGTAAAACTGTTGAGAGACTTTAAAAGTGATTTGTATGTCAACAGGAAAAGGAAATAATTGATAACTACAAGTTTTCTAAACATGCCATATGAAAAGGTAGTTCAGGGGCCCATAATCCAAAAGAAGCCTCTTTAAAGTTTAGTAAAGATAATGAATAGATAGAGAGATACGTAGATAGATGAAAAGTTTTCAGATGATTCTGGTATGTGGCAATTCTTGAGCACTACTATTCTAGAGCAACTTCATCAGATAGTTTTCTAATAATAGATTTAGAGTCTTCAGGGGAAAAAACTGATAATCAACCTGAGGTCAGGGAAGAGATATTTAAAAAGAAGATCTCTTCTCTACTCCCACTGCTTCACTTGACTAGATTTAAAAGAAAACATAACATTAAGTAAACAATAAAAAGAGAAGATTAGCTAAGCAATAGGCACGTTTCTTCTTTTCTTGAAGGTGGGGTAACTTCGGGGAAACTGGAAACTGGAAATGATACTTCGCTGCCTAATATGGTTTGGTGGTGTCCCCGCCCGAATCTCATCTTGAATTGTAGCTCCCATAATTTCCACGTGTTATGAGAGGGACCCTATGGGAGGCAATTGAATCATGGGGGGCAGTTTCTCCTATACTGTTCTCATGGTAGTGAATGAGTCTTACAAGATCTGATGGTTTTATAAGGTGTTTCCCCTTTCTCTTGGTGCTCATTCTCTCTTACCTGCCACCATGTAAGACATGCCTTTTGCCTTCTGACATGATTGAGAGGCCTCTCCAGCCACATGGAACTGTGGGTTCATTAAACCTTCTTTTCTTTATAAATTACCCAGTCTCAGGTATGTCTTTATCAGCAGAAGCATGAAAATGGACTGAAACTTTGCCATCTAATACCTCCTATGTAATTCAACTTTCTGAGGTCCTGAAATCGCACAGCCATTTTTTTTTCTTTTCCTCACCTCAAACCTTTCTCCTTCTACTATTAAGTGTATGAATTGAATGATTGTATTATTACTGAGAGAGGATTTGATGAAGTAAATATGGAGAAAGAATAAGGTTTGCCAAAGGTTTCCCAGGTAGGCAAGACAAAACACATGAACACATTGGAATGAGGAGTAGAGTGCCTAAAGATGAGGCTTATAAATTCCATAGATAGATTTTATATTTTCTACATAGGTACTAGCATTTGGGTTGGGTGATATTATCTCATAGCAACCAAAGGTGGTGTGATATCCCAAAGGTGAAGGTTCTGCAACCCAAACCCCTTTGTCAGAGCCACTGTGAAAGAATCCATTTATCAAAGTACAGGATCATTGGGTGGGCATGGTGGTTCCTGCCTGTAATCCCAGAACTTTGGGAGGCTGAGGTGGGTGGATCACTTGAGGTCAGGAGTTTGAGACCAGCCTGGCCAACATGGTGAAACTTGTCTCTACTAAAAATACAAAAAAAGTAGCTGGGCATGGTGGCACATACCTGTAACCCCAGCTACCTGAGAGGCCGAGGCAGGAGAATCGCTTGAACTTGGGAGACGGAGGTTGCAGTGAGCCAAGATGGCGCCACTGCACTCCAGCCTAGGTGACAGAATGAGACTCGGTTAAGAAAGAGAGAGAGAGAGAGAGAGGAAAGAAGGAAGGAAGGAAGGAAGGAAGGAAGGAAGGAAGGAAGGAAGGATCAAAACTTGCTTTTTACAATTCCTATAGCTTCATTCATTGGATTTATGATCCAATCAGTTATTTCATTCTTCCATCCATTTGGTACCTACTGGGGGTTAAGAACAGAATGATAAATAAAACAGAGTCCCTTATAAATGAATAATTATTACTACATTGTGATTACACTATAAAAAATTATGAGCAAAGAGGCCAAGGAAATAAGATTTCATTTTTTCAGTCAATAATTTGCTTTATTAAAAACTCAAACTGGTAAAGACCTTCAATTAGAAGTAAAGGAATATAGAGTATTGCAATAAGAAGAAAAAAATGGGCAGGCCAAGTGAAGAAATGACGTGTTCCCAAGGAATCCAGTGGAGTAGTTCATTTTGGCAGAATGTTTGTCTTACAGAGTTTTTATTACAATACAGTTAAATCCTGTCCTTTAGTGCTTTGGTTATCAGTTATACATTTGAACAGGATTAGCAGAAATAAGATAGAACTGGTGAACCACAGGGCAGGGAAAAGTGCACAGGTTTTGCATTTACACTGTTGGATTGGTGGCTCTATCACTTGTAGGCAGATGCCTTTAGATTACTTAACCTGATTGTTAATTTTTTTCTGTAAAATGTGAATATTATAATTTAGCCATTATAATTTAATCATCGCAGATGTGTGATGATTAAATGTATATATGTAAAGCCCTCAGAAAGGTGATTGCCCACAGTCACAGCTAAGTGGATTTGGGTGCTATACTTACAGCCACTGAATAACTTGGAGTCCTATAGGCTTGGATGCAATCTTAAATCCTATGAAATTTAATAAACTGACCATTTAATTGTAGTAAATTAAACATCAGGACTCTAATGGAATGGAATAACTAATGTCTTTCTAATTAAATGATTTATTAATCATGTGACTCCCTCAATCTGGACGGACATACAGATATGTCTAATAAGGTGATCACGTACAAATGAAGTATAAACACCATTAATATTTGAAAGATTCAGTCAATATCAGGAATTTTATGGCAATATAAATCTGCTGTTCCTCTAAAGGTATAGCGGCTTTCAAAAACAAGCTTTCACATTTATTTATTGTCCTGGTAGAGTCAATGTGATCAAATATACTCTCATGTGTATAATGTTATTTATATACAAATGTGATGATCCAGGGTCCACAGTAGAGGTTCTTTACATTATTTCTATACATAGATATGTTTTCTCCTACTACCAACCATGAAAATGGGAGGGGAAAGGAAGGGATGTGCTTTTCATTGAAAAATTGAGCCCCTAATGGCTCCTACTTGGCTACCTTATTCATTAGAGAGCCTCTGAGGAAACTAAATAGTATTCGTGAATGGCTCAGGAAACATTTTGCATGCAAGGATTAAAGATAAATCACAATTAGAAAATCTTATTTTCATGAAGTGACTTTTTAATTAGAGGGAAAACAAGCTCTCAATCACAAATCAGTGAATAAACAACTTTGACAGACCTCCTTTCGGTATCCTCCTTGCCTCTTCTAAAGGTTTATTTTTTAATTATTATTTTAAGGAGAAAGCATTCTGTTCATCTAACACTAGATCTGATTCCTGCATCTACCATCCTCTATTTTCTTTTTAAACTAATATTTTAATTGCGTTTGTACATGTAATTTATGCCTTACTTTGAAGGTTTAGGAAACACACACATACACCCAACAGAAAAGGTTTATTCTCCATTCTGGAAAAAAGAAAGAAAGAAAGAAACAAACAAAAACCAAACAACACAACAGCAGTTAAAAAATTAATTGACAAAATATATAAAACAACAATGTTCAGTTATTGCATATCAGGCAACACAGGGGAATAGTACCTCAGAGAGAAGAAAAAAATAAAATCGGCCCTATTAGTTGTACTATTATACTCACTGAAGAAAGATCACAGACCTAAGCCATAAAAGTGAGCTGGTGGAGACCAGTGAACCGCCTGAGATGAAGAAATGGAAGGCTAAAGGAGGAGTAAAAGAAGGCCAACATGGCTAGAAATTCACAAGACAAAACAACAGAGAAAAGAGAGCTGCATTGGACATCTGCAAAGTGTTCCCTTGGAGTCCTCGGCTAGGTACTAATCAGCATGTGTGAGTGTGAGGATGATACCAAGTGTTGGGGAAAGAACCACCTAAAAAGAGCAAGGGAAAATGTCCTCTGAGCTCAGAGAGGATTGTAAAGTGTCCATGTTACCATAAACCAGAGGGGGAAGTCTTGTAATTCAAGAAGAATTAAGGATGCTCACCAGGAGGATATAATAGTCCTAATGATTCACGCAACTATTACAAACATAAAACAGGTGAAGCAAAACCCTATATAACTGAAAGAAGAAATACACAAGTCCACAACCATAGTTAGAGATGTCAGCACACATTTCAATAATTGCTAAAAGAAATAGAAAATTAGGAGGGATATATAAAACTTCAACAACACTATAAACCAAGCTAAAGTATCATTTTAATAAGATATTTTGTGTCTATATTCATGAGGAATATTGGTCTCATTTTGGTACTGCCTTTGGCTTGTTTTTATATCAAGGTAATCCTGGCTTCATGAAGTAAATTGAGAAGTTAATATGTTTCAGCTGTGCTCCCACCCAAACTCTCATCTTGAATTGTAATCATCATAAGCCCCACATGTGAAGGGAGAGAGCAGGTTGAGCTAATTGAATCATGGGGGAAGTTTCCCCATGCTGTTCTCCTGAGAGTGAGTGAGCTCTCACGAGATCTGATGGTTTTATAAGTGTTTGATGGTTCCTCCTGCGTTTATTCTCCTTTCTGCTGCCTTGTGAAGAAGATGTCTTGCTTCCCCTTCACCTTCTACCACAACTATAAGTTTCCTGAGGCCTCCCCAGCCATGCTGAATTGTGAGTCAATTAAACCTCTTTCTTTTATAAATTATGCAGTCTCAGGCAGGTTTTTAAGGCAATGTGAAAACAGACTAACACATAATTTTTTCTGCTTTTCCTATATCTGAAAGAAATTATGAAGACTTGGTGTTAATTCTTGTTTAAGCTTTAGATATAATTTTCCAGTGAAACCATCTAGACCTGTGGAATTTTTGGGGGGAGTTTTCAAATGAAAAATTCATTTTCCTTTTATGGTATTAGAAGGATATGCAAACTATTTTATATTGTGTGAATTGTGACATTTTATGTTTTTCAAAGAATCGATCATTCTAAGTTGTCAAATTTATGTTTTGAGAGTTGTAGTTTTTTTTATTATAATTTGATGTCAGCAAGGTCTATAGTGAAATCCCATTTCATTTCTGATAATGGTAATTTATATCTTTTTTCCTGTCATGCTACAAGTCAGTTTTATTGACTGAACTCTTCAAACAGTCAAACTTTTATTTTATTGATTTTTCTCTATTGTTTAACTGCTTTAAATTTCAATGACTTTTACTTCATTACTTATTCCTTCTGCTTTAAGTTTATTTTGCTTTTTTTCCCCCTTGGTTCTTCAGGTTGGGGATTAGATTAAGATTTTTTTCTATTTTTCTCAGGTAGGTATTTAATGCTATAAAGTCCCCTCTCAGCACTGCTTTTGCTTTATCCTGTGAATTTGAAATGTTGAATATTCATTTTCATTCAGTTCATTGTATTTTTTAAAATTTCACTAGAGATGTTGGCTTTAAACCATGGATGTTTTAGAAATGGTCTGGTTAGTTCCTAAGTGTTCAGAGAAATTGATTTGCTTGATTGTCTGCTTGTCTTTATTGGTTTTCAGGTGGTTCCATTGTGATTGAATGATTTCACCTGTTTTAAATTTGGGATTTTTTTTTTTTTTTTATTCCATTCTGTAATATGTACCATGGGTACTTGAAAGGAATGTATATTCTTCTGTTTTAGTGTAAAGTTGCGGACAAATGCTGATTAGATTCTGTTAGTGGATGAGGTTGTTAACTTCTATACCCTTGCAGATTATCTATCTAATTGCCCTATCAATTATTGACAGATGAGTGTTAAAGTATCTACTGATAATTGTAGATTTTGTCTGTTTATGCTTTCAGTTCTATCAGTTGTTTCATGAACTATTTGCTCTCCTGTTTGGTGGATACACATTTAGGATTGCTATGTTTTCTTGGTGAAATGATCCTTCTATCATTATGCAGTGCCTTTTTTATACATGGTAATTTATTTTGTTCTTAAATCTACTTTATTTGATATTAATATAGCCACTTTAATATTTGCATGATATGTATTTTCCAACCTTTTGTTTTCAAACTACCATTACTGTTATATTTGAAGTGTGTTTCTTATAGATAACATACAGTTGCGCTATGTTGTTTAATCTATTTTGTCAGTGTCTATTTTGGGGTGGTATATTTGGAGCATTTACATTTAGTTATTGATATGTTGGGATTACTTTTGCTCTTTCATACTTTTCTGCTTTATTTCCATTTTTTTCTGCCTAATTTTGGGTTACTTGAATATATTTTGGAATCCCATTTTGACTTATTTTTAGTGTTTTTGTATATCTCTTTATATAGCCTTTTAAGTGGTTTCTCTAGCTATTAGATTATGTATACATTACTAATCACAGTCTGCTGTTTCATCAGTTTGAGTTCTCCCTATGTTCCCTTACCCTCTCCTACTTATAATTGTGTTCAACAATTCTTCCACAAACATTTCAGACTACAGTGGTGTTATAATTTTCATTTTACCCCTAGTATATGATTTGGAAAAATTGAGAACAAGGAAATTCTATTTACCCACATTTCATATGTTTGTCTTTGTTCCTTTTTAGTATTCCAAGCTTTCGTTTTATTGTTTCTTTTCTTATTAGACATCAAAACTTTAGCCATTTTGTTTTGTTTTCTTTGTTTTTGTTTTTGAGATGGAGTCTCAGTCGCCCAGGCTGGAGTGCAGTGGTGCTATCTCGGCTCACTGCAACCTCCTCCTCCTGGGTTCAACCGATTCTCCTGCCTCAGCCTCCTGAGTAGCTGCGACCACAGGTGCATTTCACCACGCCCAGCTCATTTTTTGTATTTTTAGTAGAGATGGAGTTTCACCATGTTAGCCAGGCTGGTCTCAAACTCTTGATCTCCTGATCTGCCCACGTCGGCCTCCCAAAATGCTGGGATTACAGGCCCCTTTAGCCATTTTTTAGAATCAATCTGCAAATAAATTCTCTTAGGTTTCCTTCATTTAAGAAAGTCTTAATTTCTGAGTATACAGATTTCATTTTCCCCAGGACTTGAAAAATATTGTTATTTTCTCAGGCAGTAGTTTCTGATGGGAAATCCACTGTCATTCTAATTGCATTTCCCATCATAGATAAGGTGATGCTATTATCTGGCAGCTCTTAAGACTTTCAACAGTCTTTCATTTTCAGAAATTTAAATATTATAGACTTTGTCATTATTATTTTTTTTAATTTGTGGCAGGGTCTCACTCTGTTGCCCAAGCTGGAGGGCAGTGATGCGATCACAGCTCACTGTAGCCTCAGACTTCCAGCTCAAGTGATCCTCTCTCTTCAGGCTCCTGAGTAGCTGGAACTACAGGCACGCACCACTACAACTGGCATTTTTCTTTTTATTTTATTTTATTTTTTTTTAATTTTTGAGACGGAGCCTTTCTCTGTCTCTCTCAGGCTGGAGTGCAATGGTGTGATCTCGGCTCACTGCAACCTCTGCCTCCTGCTTTCAAGCGATTCTCCTGCCTCAGCCTCCCGAGTACCTGGGATTATAGGCATGCACCACCACACCTGGCTAATTTTTGTATTTTTAGTAGAGACGGGGTTTCACCGTGTTGGCCAGGCTGGTCTCCACCTCCTGATCTCATGATCTGCCCACCTTGACCTCCCAAAGTGCTGGGATTTCAGGCATGAGCGACTGTGCCTGGCCCACCTGGCTATTTTTTTAAAAAAATTAGTAGAAACAGGGTCTTACTGTATTGCCCAAGCTGGTCTCAAATTCCTGGGCTCTAAGTGATCCTCCCAAGTGCTGGGATTACAGACGTAAGCCACTACTCCTAGCCTTAATTTCCTTGAGATTATTCTGAGATTTGCTCAGCTTCGTGAGTCTGTAGGTTTATTGAATAATTGATTTAGTCCAATCTGGAGCGGTTTCAGCCATCATTTTGTTGAAAAATTTTAACACCTGCCTCTTCCTCCTTTCCTTCTATGATTTCAATCACATAAACATTGGATCTTCTGTTATAGCCCATGGGTTCAAGAGTTTCTGTTGATTATGTTTCAGTCCATTCTCCTCCAGATTGGGTAATTTCTATTATTCTATCTTCCAGTTCATTAATCCTATTCTTTCTCTCCTCCCTTTTGCTATTAAGCTTACCCACTTTATTTTTGTATTTTGTATCTTATGTTTCAGTTCTATAATCTTCATTTGGTTCTTTATGTCTTCTATGTATTTGCTGAAACTTTTTTTTTTTTTTTTTTTTTTTTTTTTTTGAGACAGAGTCTAGCTGTATCACCAGGCTGGAGTGCAGTGGCTCTATCTTGGCTCACTGCAACCTCTGCCTCCTGGGTTCAAAGGATTTTCCTGCCTCAGCCTCCCAAGTAGCTGGGACTACAAGTGCCAGCTACCATGCCCGGCTACGTTTTTGTATTTTTAGTAGAGACAGGGTTTCACTGTGTTAGCCAGGATGGTCTCCAGCTCCTGACCTCATGATCCGCCTGCCTTGGCCTCCCAAAGTGCTGGGATTACAGGTGTGAGCCACTGAGCTGGGCTGAAACTTTCAATTTTTACTTTTGCTTCAAGTATGTTCATAATTGTTCCTTGAAGCATTTTAACATAGCTGCTTTGAAATTACTATCATATAAATCTAATAGTTCTATCATGTCAGTGTTGGCATCAGTTGATTTTCTTTCATTCAGTTTGAAATCTTCCTTCTTCCTGTTCTCTGTATAATGAATGATTTTCCAATGTGGGTATTATGGTATAAAAATATAGATTTCATTTAATTTTCTGTCTTCACTTGCTTTCCCTGACACCATTTTTACAGGAGAAAGGAGTGGGGCACTCTATTACTGCCAGTTGAAGATAGTAGTCTAAATTCTCTACATAGTTTCCATTGTCATACAAAATGAGAGGATTCCTCCTTGCTACTGGACAGAAGTTCCTACTGAGACTTCTGGTCTCTACATGGGCTCCATGATGGTGAAGGCTTTATTCATCCTGAGTGTTGATGAGAGTCCTGACTCTCTACCATCTTCAGATACAGCCCACGTAGAGAGGGACAAAGGTAACTTATTAACGCTAAAAGGGATTGTAGTCCAGGCTTCCCCTGTTTTCAACACTGACATCACACATTTGGCACTCATTGCCAGTCAGTGAAAATGAAATTCCTAATTTCCTACCTGGTCTTATCTGACACTAGGCTTGCAGGAATTAGGGGAAGCTTTTTGTGGCCTAGTAAGTGTGAAATTCAAGGCTTCCCACTTGTCCTTTGCTGATGTAGATGAGTGTAGAACAACAGTTTTCTGTGACGTTTAGCTGGATCACAACAGTTACTATTTAAAGTTTGTCTTGATAGACTGTCTCTTTGGGCTAAAGAGAACATCTTTTGTCATCGGGGAATTTTTGTCTGTTTTTATTGCCATCTTCATTTTCTTCAACTCCAAGTTTAAGATTTAGGAGGCAAAAACAAAAAAATACGAAAGGCAGTCTTCCTTCTTTCTATCTTTCAGTGTCTTATATTTTCCCCTTAAATTTTAAACACTAATATTTAGTTCACAATTTTAAAATCATCTGAAGTTTTGAATATTGCTGAAATATTACATTATATACTATTACAGTAGTCTGCTTGTCAGTGGTTTCACTTTTCAGTTTTTGTTACCTGCAATCGGTCAAGATCTGACAATATTAAATGGAAAATTTTAGAAATAAGCAATTCACGATTTTAAACTGCACATTGTTCTGAGTAGCATGATGAAGTCTAACACGTTCCTGCTCTGTCTTGCCCAGGATGTGAATTATCCCTTTGTCCAGCATATCCATGATCTCTAAGCTACCTGCCCATGAGTCAATAAGTAGCCCTTTGGTTTATAAGATTGATTGTCACAGTATCATAGTGCATGTGTTCGGGTAACCCTCAGTTTACTTCATAATAGCCTCAAGTGCAAGAATAGTGATGCTGGCAATTTGGATATGCCAAAGAGAAGCCACAAAATCCTTTAAGTGCATAAGTAAAGGTTCTTGCTATCATATATGGAAAGAAAAAAAACAACCATACGCTGCAGTTCCTAAGCTCTACGGTAAGAACAACTCTTCTATCTGAGAAATTGTGACAGAATACTGTTACAATTGTTCTATTTTATTATTAACTTTCACTGTGCTAAATTTATAAATTAAACTTTATCATAGGTATATATGCATACAAGAAAGCAGTGTATATAGTGTTTAATACTATCCATGGTTTCAGGCATCCACTGGGTGTTTTAGAACATATACCATGTGGATAAGGAGCAACTACTATACCTCCAAACTACTTTTCTACTTTATTATAACATGTGTCATTTGGCTAATGATATTTTAGGTTGTCATATATATGTGTCAGCTGCTAACATACTCTTGAGGGGCTGGAGAGATGAAAAATTTTCAGTAAGCTACCAAAAACAATTTGTAAAAAGCCGTTATGTATAATAAGCAATAAATAACAAGTAAATGGAAAATAAAGATGGGAACATATTTGTACATAAGTGATAGTTATGACTCAAAGCAATGAGAGTAACACTAACAAACTAATTTTTTTTTAAATCAAGAAAATTAAGAGATAATAGACTGAAGGCAAATGATGAATAAAAGCAGAGACGGTTCAATCATATTAGCAACCAAAGTCAACAATAATTGTTCACCAGATGTTTGATAAAAATTTGTAGATGATGCTGATGAGGTTGTCATCTAATAACATACTCATGTATTGCAAATTGGAATGAAAACTTTGTTTTACAGCATTTTGGCAATATAAGTCAAGACTCTTAAGAACTGTTTATACATTAACTCAATATATCCATTGATAACAAGTCAATTATCAGAATGAATATAACATCAGCGAAAAAATGCATATATGCTTTAGCATTTTCCATGATACATCAGTTGAAATAGACTACTGTCTAATAAAATCTTTACATTTTTTCTCTGTGATGTTTAGCTGAATCACTGCAGTTACTACTTAAATTTCCTGTCTTGATAGTCTGTCTCTTTCCTCATCCTTTGGGCTAGAGAGAACATCTCTTGTCATCAGGGAATTTTTCTGTTCTTTTTGGCATCTTCAGCTTCTTCAGCTCCAAGTTTAAGACTTAAGGGGCAAAATAATAATGATGTTATGAGACACATGTGGTATCTATTACTGAAAGTAGTGTTTATCAAAATATTTAGTGGCAAGGAAATAGAAAAGAAAAATTAGAGTATAGAATAGTAGCTACAGAATGAACTCAGCAATGTAAAAAATATTATGTCTACATACCCATTACGTAAAACCATTAGTTTTCTAATAACAGTTTTAGATTGAGAGGAGTAAAAACACGATTAATGCCAGACTAAACTATTATATCTATATGCTTTATTTTCTGTCCTGTTACATTTCTAAGTGTTTTTTGTTGCTCTCTTTTCCATGGATCTCTTTTTAAATTTCTTTCTGCTTTTTAAGAACGTTTAAATCACTTTATTTTAATACATTAGCCACATCTTATGAGATTTTCTTTTAATCCAATATTTTTCTGAGGGATTAAACAAATGTCTTTCAATATATAATAGCTCTCACAAAGCAAAGTCCTTCGGGACATGCACAAGTTTAAATAGAAAGTAAGAAAGTAACTTTAAGTAGAAAAAGCAGGCCGGGCACAGTGGCTGACACCTGTAATGCCAGCACTTTGGAAGGCCAAGGCAGGCGGATCACCTGAGGTCAGGAGTTCAAGACTAGCCTGTCCAACATGGTGAAACCCCGTCTCTATGAAAAATACAAAAATTAGCTGGGCATGATGGTGGGTGCCTGTCATCCCAGCTACTTGGGAGACTGAGGTAGGAGAATCACTTGAACCCGGGAGGCTGAGGTTGCAGTTAGCTGAGACTGCACCATTGCACTGCGGCCTGGGCGACAGAGCTAGACTCTGTCTCCAAAAAAAAACAAAAAAGAGCAAAGACGTGAATAAGTACCGATTGAATAGAAAATTAAGTGTTTTGGTGTTACTTCAAAGTTAGTATCTACTTTCCATTTTAATATTCTTAAAAGTGTTTATTATGAATGTAGATATATAATATCTCTAAGTCACTGAAAAAAAGAAAGTAAATATTTGACTAGTGAGGAATCTGCAGCAAAATGAGAAACAACAAAATATAAATTTTTAAAACTGAGTGAGCAGTGATTTCTATATATTCCAACATATCTAGATTTTGTAAATTTGAAATATAGCCTACTTACTAATTTAAAAATTACTAAAACTAATAAAGTTAGTGATAAACAGATCATTTGAAGGGTACTAATTGCTGTAGACTAGGATGAACTTGAAGGATCTATACAGATGTGTCAGTGAGTGATGCTAAGCAAATTTAATAAAGCCACTTTTGGTTAATCCCCGGTAACCCTTCAAACAATTTTGTGGTAGGCTCACTAGTGATGCCCCTGAACAATAGTCTTCAAATCAATCAAGATTTTGCCTCACTTTATTAATTCCTATTACTTACTGAACTTTCCTTAAGAATAGTCTTTTGTAAGGCTATCTGCCTAATCTTTCGGCTGTAATGATAACCCTTAGTATAGATTGTAAATTTTTGTATTCCCTGGATGTTAATGACAGAAAATTTAGATTCCCCATCTCACAAGAAGAAAACCCATACATAAAGAGTTTACTAACAGTAAAAATGAAAACAAAAATTGACTTTGTCTACATATATATTTAAAGAAAATCTACACGGCTATGCATTTTTAAAAATCATAAAAATGTTATTAGGGTAGTCAGAAAGAATCATAGTTTTCAAAATTTTTTTTTTTTTTTTTTTTGAGATGGAGTCTTGCTCTGTCACCCAGGCTGGAGTGCCAGTGGTGCAACCTCAGCTCACTGCAACCTCCACCTCCCGGGTTTAAGTGATCCTCCCACCTCAGCCTCCCGAGTAGCTGGGATTACACGCGCCCAGCTAATTTTTGTATTTTTAGTAGAGACGGAGTTTTATCACGTTGGCCAGGCTGGTCTTGAACTCCTGACCTAAGGTGATCTGCCTACCTCGACCTCACAAAGTGCTTGGATTACAGGCATTAGCCACCATACCCTAATAATCATATTTTTATGTTATTCTTTAGTTTGTTCGGAACACGTTCACATAATTATGGCGCTTGATAGCTGGAATCATATTTAAAAAGAATGTGTTTTACAAAGGCCTTCTAGGACACATTTTAATAATTATTTCAAAATGGAACATATATTACTTTGAGCTAGATGTCAAAGAAGCAAAAATACAACAGTAGCATGAAGAAACTGAAAATACTGGACAATTTGACACCCAATGATTGATGTATCTGGGATCAATATTTTTCTATAAAAGCTTTGTGAAAATATTAAATGTTTTTCTTAGCCCTGTATAGTTTGTACACATTTAAGGACTGAATGAGAACATAAAAAACAGCACGCAAATTTTTAAAAATTAAAACATAAATTACTTGAAGTTATACCTTTAAAGTGTATTTCTATAAAATGTATAAAAAGAATATATGACATTTTAGAATTTTTAATTTAGGGTGAGGGTTATTTAACTTATATTCTGATTTCTACACGCAGACAATATTAATGTTATAGAAATGGACAACCTTAAAAACTAAAATATTAATTTTCAAATGTCCTTTATTGATGACAAATTTCTGATACACATCTTTCAAACAAGATTTTGGTTACAAATAGAAAAAAAACTGGAAAAAAGCCAAGTTCTTATTTCGTAACTTTTTATTAGTACTTTTGTGATTATTCATATGAAAATTTTAAGATAGGTGATATGGTTTGGCTCTATGTCCCCATCCAAATCTCATCTCGAATTGTAATCTCCATGTGTAATTCCCATGCAATCCCAGGAGGGACCTGGTGGGAGGTGATTGGATCATAGGGGTGATTTCTACCATAACATTCTCTTGATAGTGAGTTTTCATGAGATCTGATGGTTTAAAAGTGTGGCACTTCCCTCTCTGCCTCTCTCAAGATGTGCCTTGCTTCCCCTTCGCCTTCTGCCATGATTGTAAGTTTCCTGAGGTCTCCCCAGCCATGCAGAACTGTGAGTCAATTAAACCTGTTTTTCCTCATAAATTACCCAGTCTCAGGTAGTTCTTTATAGTAGTGTGAAAACAAATGAATACAATAAGTAAAATCTTACATAAATTAAAGCAATATCAAAATTTCTATTTTAATTTAAAGGTATTTCAAAGTTTTCCTCCAGGATTTTAAGGGTTACTTATATGACATACTATAAGCAAAATTACAGAGCAAATAAGCAGTAGCCTAAGCATGTGCCCATGGGGTTATGCAGTACAAGGTAAGAATAAGGAAAAGTTGAGAAGAGCATTGTGTATACCACTCTTGTATGCAATGGTTCATATCAGTCCTATAATTTCTATATTGCTAAATATCATTAAAAAATTTCAGAGTACCTAATTATCTCTTTATATGCATAGGAGGAAGAGTCTTTTAGACGTAAGGTATTGCTTCAAATAGAGAAACTTTTGAAAAAAGGGGAAATAAAATTAAATGCTATTATAAATACAGTCATCAGCCAGTTGCAATATTCCAATAATTTGCTTAAAATATATACCATTACTATAGTAAACTATGCATGAGAAGAGCAGATGCATGTAAAATTTCTCCAAGCATTGTGATAATTATTTTGTGATGCTTAAATACAGAGGTAAATAACTCAGATAAACTTTCCTATTTAAAACTTTTTTTTTTTGAGATGGAGTCTCCCTCTGTCACCCAGACTGGAGTGCAGTGGTGCAATCTTGGTTGACTGCAACCTCTGCCTCCTGGGTTCAAGTGATTCTCCTGCCCCAGCCTCCCAAGTAGCTGGGATTACAGGCACCTGCCACCATCACCAGCTAATTTTTACATTTTTAGTAGAGACGAGTTTTCACAATGTTGCCCAGGCTGGTCTCGAACTCCTGACCTCAAGTGATCTGCCTGTCTCAGCCTCCAAAAGTGCAGGGATTACAGGCATGAGCCACTGCACCTGGCCAGAAAATATTTTAAAAATTGACTAGACTTCAGGCTTTTCAAGCATGTTCTTGGTACAGTGTTTGAGTGATAGCAGGCTCTCAATGGATGGTTTTTGGATAAATGCTGCTAGATTCTGCAGATTGGCTCATTTGGCACCCTCTCTGAATCCCTTCTCCCTAGCATTCCTCTGTTATTGTGGTTGAACTCTAGGAACAAAATCATCTATATTTTTTCACAGCAAGGACTTGCCATATGACCTCAGTTAGGGCAAACAGATATATTATATCTCTATAAGACTTGGGAAGGCAGAAGTTAGTAATGTGATATGGTAGCTCTATATGAAAACATATAACACAAGTGTTTGGTTCTCTTAGGGAAGATCTAGCAGAGACTTTCCTCTTTTTTTTTTTTTTTTTTAAGTGATTTAATGGTATTTCCTAGGAGGTGATTTAATGGTATTTCCATTAGGACCATCCCACTTACATTTGGATACCGTTTCCTGGTCATATTGTTCCAGCGTCGCTGCATTACTGTATAGGTTTCTGGCAGGCAATAGTATTTTTCATGCTGTATACCCTTACCAAGCTATGTATTCAAAGAGTGGTTTGTTTAGAAGAAAATCTTTTTCTAATTCATACAAATTTGCCCTATGGGCTTGTTGCACCAGCCTCATTGCTAGCAATGTAGCATTCAGCCTTGTTTATTTTGTCTTTCTAGAAATTTTGTAGGCAAACTAATACAAGATTCCCTTTTCTGTTTAAAAGGATTACATTGAACTCTGTTTGCAACTTATAAAGTCTAACTGAAATGAAGTTCTTACTTCATTACCCTCTTACTGGATAACTGGTAGTTCTATTGCAATTAAATGAAATTCTCTTCTTCATGTTTCCTGTTTACATACTTACAACACCTACATTAAAGGAAACATTTGGACCAATAGTCTACAATATTGGAAATGCTTTTCTTGGTAGGTATTCTCTTTCACAGAGGGGAAAGCTATTCAGTATAATTGATTATATGAATGCTCACATCTTATTTCTTACATTTTTTCTAAATTATCTTATTTTCTTTGAATTGAAACCAAGCATAAAATCCTATGTATGTGAAACCAAGCAAAAAATGACTTGTTTGCTTCAGGAAATACTTGTAACTGTAAGATAATCTAGAAAACATCTAAAACCACTTCCTTACCAAGACTACAGTTTCTTCATTAGAACTACAATCACACATATCTTAATGATGGAAGAAATGTGTTCTCAGAAATGTGTTTGTAGATAATTCTGTCATTGTGTGAACATCACAAAATGTACTTAGACAAACCTAGATGGTATAACCTAGTGCTCCTAGGCTCCAAACCTGTAGAGCATGCTACTGTACTGAATACTGTAAGCAATTGTTAACACAGTGAGAGTATTTGCATATCTAAGCATTGAAAAGGCCAGTAAAAATACAGTACTGTAATTTTAGGAGACTACTGTTGTATGTGTTGTTCATCACTGACTGAAAAGTCATTATTTGGCACAGGACTGTATTCTAGTAAACTTCTACTTCATCAAGATTTGCTTCAAAACTCTTATCTTATATTCCTTCTTTATTAAGAGCTATTATATCTTTAGTTTTGCTCAATCTTAGTGATTCAGAAGCTAGACAGAAATTATTTAGGCAGATAGTGAAGGTAAATAAGTCCTCGGCAAGGCTTCCCTTTTAGTAAAAAGCCGCTCCCCAATCATTTTCTTTTTCTAACAAAGAGCAGCCTGAAAAATCGAGCTGCAAACATAGATAAGCAAGCTGGAAACTTGCATGGGTGAGTGCTAGCAGCTGTGCCAATAGAAAAGGGCTTCCTGGAAGCCAGGTATGTTCAAAATGGAGGCTCCATCTTCCCTTTTCTTTGTCACCGTGTGTGCGATAAAGAGGCAGGCAACATGATGTTGGCCAGGTGGAGAACCTATCTGCAAAATAAAAGACTAGGGGGCGGGGCAGCCAGCCTCTTTGTGCACTATGCAAATGGCACAGATTTTTCAACCAATCTTTCGTGCCCTATGTGAATCAGATACTGCCCCCTCAAGCTCACCTAAAAAACCTTCTGCGTTTCACCATGGAAGCAGCAACCCATTTTCTCTGGGACCACTCTCTGCTTCCAGAGCTCTTCTTTCTTTCACCTACAAAACTTCCGCTCTTACCCTTACTCTGGTGTGCCCATGTCAGTTTTCATGACTGTGGCTCAACGAACCTTGGGTAGTACCCCAGACAACAATGTGGCTTCACTAGTACATTCTCTACCTTTCAAATTCTGCCTTAAAATCACCCAGCCCAAGACTTCTAATTCAATTAGACTTAAAATTCCCTGGGGAAAAATTTTTTTTGGAACTAATAAAACAACGTTTACAATTCCTTGTTTCTAATATATTCATTATAACTTAAAATATGAAGTTTAAATTAGTAAATCTTTAGCAATAAAGCTTATAATTTGACTTACTTTTCTGTAAATGATTACAGACTGTAGCTGGAGATCATTTCTTGACACACAGGATTTATAATTAATTAGCTGACTAATTTCTAGTCAACAAAGTAAAATAAAACAAAGCTAATTGTCTCCTGTAAAGATAAAATCTCTAAAATTTCCCCCATTAACACATGTTTAAACCTGACTACATACTAATTGGTTAATTGGTTATTTAATTTTAAATAAAAATGTTTATTATCTAAACAGTCCTCATTCCAATGTTTTGTTCTCTAATATTTCAAGGATCAAATATAGTTGTGTGTGTGTGTGTGTGTGTGTGTGTGTGTGTGTTGAAATATGACCTAATTTCAAAACACTTTCCTACTAGAATCCAAAAAAAAATAAAGAGAATCTACAAAATCAAAGAATTGCCAATAACCATCAATGGCTGTAAAAATACTATGAATTATCCATTTCAAGGGTCTTTGGATTTACAACAAACTCAAGAGTTCATTTTCAAATATTTCCTCTAATTCAATTATCTCAATCATCCTGAAGTTCATCCAGCTGGCATGCTTTTTCTTGAGTCAATTATCAACTTCCTACAAACCTAAAAAGCTATCCTTCACCTGAGGTGGTATCTATGGACAGACATACAAATCACTATTGTTTCTGTTAGACTTAAAACATCTACATGAGTTAGTGATAGAGAAGTTTCCTTAAACCTAGTGTAGGGTTGCAGGCATGAACAAGGCGTTTAAGTTTCTTCAAAAGAAAAGCATTATGAATTTAATTTACTTTAGGAAAGCTAACTTCATCATTTTCAGGGAAAAAAAGGCTCTTAGCTCAAAATAAAAATCACTGAAGGTGGAACTTAAAATTTTTATTTTAAAAAGGAAAATAATTCAATTCTCAAGGAAAAAGTGAATCAATATGTCTCCAGGAAAAGAGTTCATGTGTTTTGCTGGAGACATAATTGAAAAGCAAATCTCTCAACCTTGAAAATCTCTCCACAAAGGCAATAAAGAAAACAATTTTATTGTTGAACAAGCATTAAACCAGAATGTAATGTGCAACACAGGTAATCTGCTAAAAGAGTTCAAATACACAAAGACCTGTCACCATCAGAAATTTTTATAAAATAACAAATCATTAAAAAAATTCCTTCAGCCTCTACCAACTTGGGTTCTCTGTTCCCTCTCTCATGTTTCTCATTTACACTCTTGTAACAGAAAAACCTTTGTGCATTCGCACTCATCCATAAACGAGTTTCCTCCCAAATTAAATAAATGTTATTAATCTCACTTTTATATAATTTATACATATTTAAATAAACATATTTAAATCAACACTACAAAATTTAGTATTAATTTTTTGCAGTAATCACATGTTGATTATTTTAAAAACTAAGCCTTGGTGCAACCCTGTCTCTACAAAAAAATTACAAAAATTAGCCAGGCCTGGTGGTGTGCACCTATAGTCCCAGCTACTTAGGAGGCTGTGGTGGGAGGATCACTGGGGCCCAGGAGTTTGAGGCTTCAGTGAGCAGTGATCCTGCCACTGTACTCCAGGCTGGGTGACACAATATGACCCTATCTCAATAAAAAGTAAATTTTATTTAAAATTAAACCTATTCATCATTGTAATAAATAAACCCTGTTCTTTTAAAGATGCTAAATACATCTATAAAATGATTAGGTAACGTTCCCCAAGAAAATACTTTTTTAGATAATTTCCAAAATTATCATTACATGGCACAATAATACATGAAATACAGGAAAAAGAATGCGTTTGACAGACTAAGTAGCTTTTATTCTTTGCCTTGAAATATTTTCTTACAACTTTCCTTGGGGAAAATGTGTCCTTGTTGAATATACCTATTTAAATGTCCTATAAAATGGTTATGTTACTTGCTATAGAACAATTTGACCAGTTTATGCTCACACAAATAGAACTGTAGTGTTATATATCTAAGATCTGCCAAAATGTTCTTACCTACTACACTGAAAGTGCCCATGATCTTCTATTATTTTTCTTTAAATATTTTATGCTCTTGACAGAAATCCAATAGTGCTTGCATGGTTTGATGTTTTGGGTTTTCAAGGTCATTTCAGTGGTTGATAGATCATGGTATCTATAAATACACATTTTGCAGCTCTGTATCTGGTGACCTGCTACTGTATAAAATTAGAAATTGTTTTCAGTATAATCTTGCTACTGCAGCTGATACTCCTGATAAATAATTATAGTTTTTTATAAATGTATTTCCATTTTGAATTTTACTATGAAATGGCAACTTTTGCCATTTAAGACATCAAATTTAGTAATTATAAACCAGACTATTACAATGGCTTAGGACAATATTTGAAATAAATGAAGTAGTAGGTATTTCATCTTCAGTGGAGGTGGATAGGCATCTATAGGTATGAAAATATAAGCGTTTAACAAGTATTTAAATGATGACTTACAGATAAATGAATTTAAATCAAAGGAACTTAAAATTCACTTTGCTATTGGCATAAACTTCTTTGATATTGTTCAGTGAAATATACTTCTCCTATTATAAAACCAACATCCTATTTTATTCAATTTATTTCATTCAAATACCTTTGGTCCCTTCTTGTGTGGAACCATTCATACTTTGCAAATTCTGTCTGTAAGACCCTCTAAAAATGTGGCAAAGATAAATCAAAATGTCTCTAAAGACCAACTAGAGTCAAGAAACATCTTGGCACTTGGAGCAGATCACCAAATTCTAGAAATATTTCCCATATTACCAAGTCTGACAGCTAAAATACAATTTTAATGATACCTTTAAGGATAAACAGCAACTATTGCTTGTTGGTTGTTTTTAAACGTCACTCTCACTCTGCCTCCCTACTACCCTACTTGTCCAATCTAAAAACAAAACAAAGCAAAATAAATTACTTTTAAAGGAGTTCGACATTCTCACATACCTACCTCAAAACATTTTGTGTGGATTTGCTGTGGGTCCTTTGAAATTTCCAATATCTTGTTTCAGAAAAAATATATGCCAAATAAAATGCTCAAAAGTGCAACTTTCTTAGAAAGGAGGTATTCCAGACTTAGTCCTAGTGATTCAGTAGTATATTGCCCTTGGGTAGACAAATGTTTTTGTTGTAGACAAATGTTTCTGTTGTAAGGTGGGCTATTTTCTGCCCATGTGTGGAAGTGTTTGATGTTTGAAAAAGCAATGCATATTATAAAGGATTAAAATCTTGTCCCCAAAAAGGAATGAGACTAGGGATATGAAACGAATAATTCAATTAAATTGATTCTGGAAAGTCTGAGAAAATCTTACACATGGATATGGACACATACTTGGTACCACAAAAATACATGAACATGATTATCACATGGTAGAACAAGCTTTTAACTAAAATGTTAATAGGTTTTAAGAAGTATTTCAATATTTAAATGCTTTGTCATTCAGTCTTAATGTCTATTACATATGTACAATGAACATACACAATATCTATAAAACTATATGTAAATAATAATCAGTGTTTAAATTTAAATGCATTTTTATCTCTTTTGGAATGTAAAATGTGAGATTGTTAAATAATATTTTACAAAGTTGTCCAAAAGCCAAAGTACTGTTAAAAAGGAAAGAAATAGCCTATTAATATTTCACATTTCTGTGCTTAAAAGGATTATTTTTTTAAATATAAACAGAAGTATATGCAGAAATTATAAATGTAGGCACCTCAAACAGTAGCACATTTACACATTTAAAATATGCATTGTTCCAAACAAAAGATGACAGTCGGCTCTTCACTGCTATGTACATGTGATTGAGAGGTAAGATGTGTGATCAGCAGTTCTTGCCAATGGACTCAAGAGAGGCTATAACTTGCTTTGCTGTCAGACTCTCTAGTGAGCTCTAGTTTGGAGCTATCAGCAATTGCTAGTTTGTTTTGCAAGCTGCATAATGCTTTTATTCCAACTAAGGAAGGTATTGGATATTCAATTAGAATCAAGCTTTTCTCTTGAAGACTGAGAGAAATATTTTCTTCACTCTGTGCATCTTGAGATAGTGTCTTAACTAAATGACATCATTCTCCCTTGAAATACTTTTGTATAAATATCATACATACACATCATTAGGCCTCAATTAGTATTTAAGTAGTTATTAATAGATGTTTCTATTTTAGCTATGCACCAATACCCCATCCATTACCAATGAAAACAACATTTCAAATTCTTGGTTTAAATTCTATTAGAATACGCTCTTAATAGTAAATTCCAACTATATTATTGGCTTACAAAGACTTTCTTCATTAGAAGGCTCTACTTGGCAATACCTAGGCCAGCTAGTAAGGTTTACTAGTTTATAAATTAGCAATTGTCACTGCTTTGAAATATATAATTTATTGTTATTGCATTAAAAAATTCTTGGAATATTGGTTTAGGTCATTTCACATTTATGCACTTAACCTTTTCAGTACTAAAATCCATGATTCTTTGGCAGGCTCTCAACAGGCTGTATAGTGCTTAATTTTTGTTCTCATAAATTGGAATATAATTCAGTAATATAAATTACTTATCCAAAATTGATCTGACTCTGGAAGCTAACAAATTAGGCATATCATTTAAATGAGTTACTGCCTATTATGTCAGAATATTTCATTCATTTTCATGGTCTAATTACATCAATCAGTTGCATCTGATAACTTTTAAAGTAGGCTTGCTATAAGTCATAAATATATGAAGAACAAAATTACATCAATCAATTATCAAGAGATCCAGTTTTATGAAGTAGTATGCCAAAGTTATATCATAGCTATTTTACTTAATATGTAATTAATACTGTTTAAAATTTGCTAATTTACATTGAATTTTAAAGGCTGTACAATTTTAACAACAAAGAAGAATGCATTTTAACGATATTCTCTGAACATCACTTCATACTTTAATCCTCAAAACAGACCAATAATTTAAATTGAAAAATATCTTTATATCAGGACAAATGAAATAAAAATGGTTCTTCATTTAAATGTCTTTGTTACGCACTATTTCAAAACTTCCTTTTACTTCTCTGGAAATCTCTTCATCCTGAATGGATTTATGTGATATTCCTTTTGATATTAATGCAAGCTGCACCTATCTAATTTGTATTGTTTCAAAATGACTTGCAGAAGCAAGGCTGTTAGAAAGGATGCTGATAATACAGCATGAGCCTTCAAAGATATATTTTTAGAAGAATCATTTCCAATTATCCTGGAATCATTTTTCCTCCTTGTGATTCCCAAAGAATTTTATTATTATTGGACAGTTTTCTTATTTTTCCCCTCATTAATTATTCATGAATTATCTTATTTTCCTTTTTCAACAGCTAGACTCTAAATTTCCTGTTATCTTTTCAACAGCTAGACCCTAAGTAAGTTTCTTGTTGACAAGAATAATATCTTTGATCTAAGTGCTCATCAGTGTTTGGACATAATGAGCACTCAAAAATTACCTGTTGTGTTAAAATACTTCCCATGTAAGCATACCTTCATTTCTTTTTTCAGTTCCCGCCTACAGATTTTAGATGAAATATCTGAATTTTTAATCAATATTTTTCTACTTTTTTCATAGTCTGTGACCTCAATTCCATTATGGAGATACACTGTGGATTAAGAATGTTCTATAATCCTAACTTTTTTTCTTTTGGGGATGGAGTCTTCCTCTGTCACCCAGGCTGGAGTGCAGTGGCAGAATCTCAGCTCACTGCAACCTCTGCCTCCCAGGTTCAAGCAATTTTTGCCTCAGCCTCCCAAGTAGCTGGGATTACAGCCATGCACCACCACACCCAGCTAATTTGTGTATTTTTAGTAGAGACAGGGATTCACCGTGTTGGTCGGGCTGGTCTCAAACTCCTGACCTCAAATGATCTGCCCATCTCAGCCTCCCAAAGTGCTGGGAATACAGGAATGAGCCACTGCACCTGGCCATATGATCCTAGCTTTTCTATCCTCACTGTGAAAGGTAAAAGTGTATGTTAGTTAAAAAGTATATCATGGCAACTTTGGTATGTGTTGCTTGTGTTATTTATAATTGGTTTTTAGCAAAATTAAAATGCAGAGACAAAAATGTGGATGAAAGGAATACAATACAGAGCAACTGTAATTTAGATATGAGGTAAGAGCTACGAACAATGAGGAGGCTGTAATTTGCCATGGATAGAGTATCCTTTGCTACACTTATTCCATGAGTAAACTCTATTTCCTCGGTGCTGAGCTTTCTGAGAATCTGGATATTTTTACATTACTAAGGCATCCCCCTTAACTTGTATTCCCAATGCCATTCTCTCATGACCCTAATCTAAAATAAGTTTGCTTTAGTATGAAATCTACCCAATTAAACAAACACTCACTGTCCTACTATAGTGAGATTTCAGGAAAACATTTGGAAATATAAATGTATAATGTAGCATGTTAGTATCCAAGGTGGTTCAATATGAGTGTTTTATTGAATTTGTTTTGTTTTTAGACCAGACTTCAGTCATTGGTATGTCTGCTGCAACTCTCTTTAGCTAGTATGGAAGAATATGTAACTCTCTGAGAAAAGATACACCACCCCACCATGCACAGTTTTGGAGAGAAAATCAAGGCTGTGTCTTTTAACATCTTATAGTGTGAGAGTCATTGTGAGGCTCACACAAAACACAAAGCTTATTGGAAGAAGCTACCTTCCTAAGCATTTCAGTATTAAATATTACTTAGAAATACCTTGTGGAGAAATATGCACTTAGACACTGAGAATGAACTATCTAAAACAAGAAATTGATTATCCAACACTAGACACTGAATATGAAACATAAGACATGCAGAAAAAGATATGTAGACCTGAAAGAAGTTTCCAGGTATAATAGGAAGAATTCCAAGGAAGACCCTCCAATATTCTCATAACCTGGGTTTTGCAATCAAGCATAAATCTAGGTACTAATTTGAAGAGATTTTGCACATGGAAATAAGGTTACTAATTAGATTTGCTAACCTTTAAATGGAGAGATTATCTTGGGTTCTACTAAACTCATTGAACTCTGTTATCTAATTTTCCTTTAACTCTTTGAAGTATTTGCAACTATTGATAAATATTTCATTTTTCCTTTCTTTATTTGGTTTCAATTATCTGACTTTTTTTCTGTTCTGAACTGTGCTTTTGTGTTTTCTTCACTGTCTTCTATTCTTTACATCTCTCTCTCCCTAAAACTGTGTTCCATACTTCTGCGTTTTTTTCCCCTCTATCTCAAATAATTTTCTTTGGTTTCATGCAATTCTGTGCCTTTAACTATTACTGTTATAGACAATTCTGTGTCTATAACTATATCTAGCTACATATATCCAATACATATTACAAAATTAATGGAAGCCAAATTAAACTGATGTTTTGAATTTTTACTGCTAAATCTAAAGATGTGTTTCATCTGCTTGCTCTATATTTTTCTCCAGATTTTCCACTAACGTTGTCGATTATATATGTCCCAAATCTCCTTTCCAACACAATCAGTTCTTTTTCTTTGCTATACCTACAAAAGAACTATCCCTTAAGAAAAACCAGCTAAATTGCTTTGCATGGTCTTTCACAATTTGAATTTCTTTATCTAATTGTTTTCAAATTGGTGTAGAATCTACCTCAACTACTTCTCTCATAAATAATGCCTCCTTCCCATTCTGATTATTCTCTTGCCATGCTTATTGCAAAATCATTGTAGATAATTCCACATTTTTTCCAAATTGTCCTGAATGCTATAGTTTTTAAAACACATCACTACTTTTGCCACTCACTTGGCCAAAATCTTTCTAACCACATTGCATGCAAATTCTCCCTTCTCTTTGGCCCCACCTAAAGTATCATTTTAAACTTTTCTGCCCTCTGATTTCCTATATAATCATCCATATAAGCATGTCGTGTAGCTTCCTGCTAGCAGGAATTTCCTAATGTGTTACTCTCTAACAGAAATTCCAGCCTCCTGGTATTATTAGCCCCTGGCCCCATTCTATCTTTTCTTTATAAATTTCCTTTGGATTTCAAAACTACATGATGCCCCCCCTTTTTTTTTTTTTTTTTTTTTTTTTTTTTAACATCCACTGAGTCTCTTTTTGTTTTTGTTTTCTTTAGATAGGGTCTGTCTCTTCACCCAGGCTGGAGTGCAGTGGCGTGATCATGGCTTACCGCAGCCTAAACCTCCCTGTGCTTGGGTGATCCTCCCATCTCAGCCTCTGGAGTAGCTAGCACTACAGGCACTGACGACCACGCCCAGCTTTTTTTTTTTTTTTTGTATTTTTTGTACAAATGAGATTTCCTTATGTTGCCCAAGCTGGTCTGAAACTCCTGGGCTCAAGTGATTTGCCCACTTCAGCCTCCCAGTGTTGGGATTACAAGCATGAGCCGCCCCGCCCGGCCTACTGGGCTTCTTTAACAACGTTGATTTTACTTTGCCTTACCTTGGACTTTCTCATGTTTATACCTCATGTTCTCATGTCAAATTGTATTTTTACATGCAGCCCCCAACCCATTTCCTTGTTCCTAGGCCATATTTAAGACATTTATTTTTATTTAATTTATTGATTTGAATGAATAAGTAGAATAAACTGCTAAATTTACCTTAAAAATAAATAAGGCATTTACATTTATCTTTAACAAATATTTTACCTTTCTCTCAATAAGTGTGACAAGCCATCTATTCATTTACATCATCCCATAAAAACTTCAGAAGGGCTGCAGGAAACATGACAACTATTGGCATGCCTTCACTTCCTGCAGTGTAGAGTAGTACAAGGTTTATTACTCTGTCAATTATTTCCCAACAATGATCATTCTTTCCTTGAACTGGTGTGTGTGTACTCTAACAATTCTAATACAAGCTGACACTAAATGGAATTAAATGACAGAATAAACTAATATTAGAAAAAGACAGTATGTTGCTGTTGACCTATACACTGAAACTGGCTCAAAAATAAAATGCAAGAGCTAGAATTGTCTTTCCACAATGTGATACTTATTTTGATTACCACTTTACCACTTTAGGGGGAAATTTTCTATAAGATAACATGGAAGTGTATAGCAGCAATAGTGTGTGTGTGTGTATGTGTATATACACATATAGATATAGTGTGTGTGTGTGTGTGTATATATGTATATTCAACACAACTGAAAACATTAACATACCCTTATAAGGTATTTTAAAACTCTTGTTAGTCATTTTTATTCCTCACCTATCAACTTCATTTGGTTTCTGTTAGATTTTTAGTGTGCATATTATACAGAGTTTCTTAGAATATAAAGTTCTCATGTATCATGCAAGGTTCTTGGGAATATTCACACTCTGTAGATCTGGGATAGGGTATGAAATTCTGGATTTTTAATGTGCTGCTTTAATATGCTACAATTAATTGAATTAATTGGCAGTTAATGCTAGTGTTGCTGATATAATGACTGCTTTTAGAAGCAAGAAAATAAGCAGTTTAATCTTTCATTTCTTTTTTTATTATTATACTTTAAGTTCTATGGTACATGTACACAAGGTGCAGGTTTATTACATATGTATACATGTGTCGTGTTGGTGTGCTACACCCGTTAACCCGTCATTTACATTAGGTATATCTCCTAATGCTATCCCTCCCCCATCCCCCCACCCCAGGACAGGCCTGGTGTGTGATGTTCCCCACCGTGTGTCCAAGTGTTCTCATTGTTCAATTCCTACCTATGAGTGAGAACATGTGGTGTTAACCTTTCATTTTTTTAACAGCTCTGAAAAACTCAAATTTCCAAATCTATCTCTTGAGGGAATGTGAAATCTGATAGAATGTGAAGGGATAGCAAGAAAATTAATGTGTCTCTAGGTCATATTTTAAAATAATAGAAAGTCTTGCTATTTTGAAAGAAAGTGTAACCTAATTTATAGAGTGATCCTTAACTCTGGAAATACATCATAATTACCTAACAAACGTTGAAAGAATACTTTTATTTTCTCAAAGCAGGACTTTTGTTCCTGCAATGATGTAGTAACAGGGAATAGATGAAACCTTTCACCTTAACCTAGAAAACTGGACAAAACATATGAAAAAATTTTCAATCATTGAGGAATAGGAGCACAACATCATGAACCCTGAGAAAAGGGAAACAAAGGCTTATGAGTTCTCTGATTTCTGCCAGGAAGCATAGATGGGTACCTCAAGGGAGCTTGGTCGACTTGGTGAGTTGGGGACACAGAGACTGGTGTTCAAAAAGTCTAAGTAGATGGAAGTTGTGTGGAAGAGTTCTTGATATAAGGAAACATGTCCCAAAAGAGCTCCAGAAATCTGCATGAGGGGATTTGAATCTTTGTTTAAAAATAAGATGTGGGCCAGGCACGGTGTCTCACGCCTGTAATCCCAGTACTTTGGGAGGCCTAGGCGGGCGGATCAAGAGGTCAGGAGATCCAGACCATCCTGGCTAACACGGTGTAACCCTGTCTCTACTAAAAAAGAAATACAAAAAATTAGCCAGGCATGGTGGCGGGCACCTGTAGTCCCAGCTACTTGGGAGGCTGAGGCAGGAGAATGGCGTGAACCTGGGAGGTGGAGCTTGCAGTGAGCCGAAATTGCACCACTGCACTCCAGCCTGGGTAACAGAGTGAGACCCCCTCCAAAAAAAAAAAAAAAAAAGATGTTTACATATAGGATATAACCCCCCATAGGCTAATGAAAGTGTGACTGAAGAGTTATGGGCTAAACAGTTCCAGAACACATCAGGTAGAGTAGTATGTCCTTGTTGAGCACTTGGGATGCTCTAGATGCTCTAGAAGGGCCACACATTGGTAGTAGGGGCTAAACTCTCACAGAAGTAAAAAACACTCTCAGTAAAACCTATCCCTGGCACATACCAAAAAACAGGAAGATATAACCCAAAGCATGCCCCCAAACAGTCACTCAGGAAAGATAAACCTAAATGTGACAGAAAAGATAAAAAATAGTAGACAAGGAATCTGAACAGGTATTATAACTATGTTCAAGATTTAAAGAAAAAATGGGCACAGAAAAAAATGAGGATATATTAAAGAACCACATATAAATATAAACATGAATAATATATCTGAAGTGAAAAATAAATTCCTAGAGGCAATTAGCAGCCGATTAGGCAATAGAGAAGAGTTGATTAATAGAGTTGAATATATAGCAATTGGAACAATTCAAAATGAAGCCAAGTTAGGAAAAAATATAAAAAATAATTAATATATTCTCAGTACTCTGTTACAGTAACAAGCAGTCCAAAAACATGTATTTGAAGTTCCAGTAGAAAACACGTGAGAGAAAACAACAACAAAAAGAAATAATGACCAGGAAATGTCCAAATGATAAAACTGGAAACCCAGTGATCCAAGACACTCAAAACGCCCTAAAAGAACAAACAAAACCACATCAAGACCCATTGACATCAAATTCGTGAAAACCGATGATAGAAAATCTTAAAAAGCAGGAGAGAAACAATATCATACTAGGCACAGAGAAACAAATATAACTGCAGACATTTTCTAGAAACCAAGCCAGAAGACAACAGAAGAGTATATTCAAGTGCTGAAAAAAATGTAACCTGTCAACCTAGATTTCTATACTCAGTGAAATTTATTTTTCAGAAATAAAGGTAAAATAAAGACTTCAAAATAAACAAAGACAAAATTTGTTCTCGGCAGGTTTTGACTAAAAAATGCTACAATCTTCTTACAGAAGAAGATATAGGATAGTAGAAGACTTGGATATATACAAAGAAAAATGTCATTGAATAGCAATAAATATAACTAGTTATTTTTCTATTTTTATTCTGTTATGAGACATTTGACTGTTTAAAGCAAAATTATCTTGGACTTCATCATATGCAGAAGTAAAATGAAAAATAAGACAGGAAGAAATGGAATTGTAGAGTTTTCACATTATATGAAATAGTATGAAGGTAATTTTAATGGGTTAAATATGTACATGTTATACCTTAAGAGTCAATTAAATATGTGTTTCCAATAGGTCAACTTTGGATAAAATAGAAATACAATAAAATCAGTTATTCCAAAGAACAGAAAGAAGAAACAAACAACAGATGGGAAAATTTGGATATTAAGAGCAAGATAGTATATTTATACCTAATAGAGATTATAACATTGAAATATTATATGTACACTGCACATAAACTTTCCAATTCTAATTAACAGGAAGAGATTGTCAGACTGGGTTTAAAAGTAAAGCATGGAACACTATATCCTGTTAAAAATAACACTTTACAGCCAGGCACAGTGGCTCACACCTGTAATAGCACTTTGGGAGGCCAAAGTGGGGGGATCCCTTGATCCTAGCAGTTTAAGACCAGCCTGGGCAATATAGTGAGACCTTGTCTCTACAAATTTCTTTTTAATGAGCTAGGTTTGGTGATACGCACCTGTAGTCCCAGCTACTGGGGAAGCTAAGGTGAGAGGATAGCTTAAGCTGGGAGGTCAAGGCTTCAGGGAGCCAAGATTGTGCCACTGCACTCCAGTGTGGCAACAGAGTGAGGCTCTGTCTTAAAAAATATTAAACTTTAAATATAAAGGCAAAAACAAAATAGAAATAAAAGGACAAAAATACATACCACAAATCACGAATCATATTAGTGTTTGAGTGGCCTTGTTAATATCACACAAAATAGATTTTAGTGAAATAAATGTGAGAAATAAAAATGGATATCTGATAATTTTGTTCACTATTTAAGAAGGTACAAAAATCTAAAACGTATACATACCTAGGAAAAGCTTCAAAACACAAAGCAAAACCCCATAGAACCAAAAGAAGAGATAGAAAAATTGACAATTATTTTCATAGCTTTCATCACTTTACATTTAGTAAATGCTAGAAAAATTAGACAGAAACCAGTAAGTATAGAGAAGACCTGAACCAACACTATTAACCAACTCGACCTAATTGACATTTATAGTACCCTCTAGCCAACAACAGTGGGACACATATACTCAGTGGACACGGAACGAATCTACAATATAAACAATACGATATTGGGGTATATTTAATTTTCTTATATATTACAATAAGTCTATTCAAATGGGAGAATATTCATATACTTAGGAGTTGCATTTTTGAGAATACAAGAATAAAATGCCTGCCACTACAACCCAATGCATATGTATATAAAAGATGATAATCAGTTTATCTACTATACTGACTTCTTAGACTGAGAGACTGAGTCACCCGGTCCTGATACACAAGCACTGTTAGCCAATAAAAAGAAAACTATACATGTTAATCATTGTTTCAGGCAACCACTTCCAACTCATCCTTGCACTTACACACATACTATCGCAGATACTATCACATACTATGTTATACTATCACATAACATAGCTAGCCCCCACTGTCACTCAACTACCTTCCTGGACTCTGACCACACACAAATAAACACACACATTCAGACTCTATTCATGACATTGGGGTTTCAGCATCACTGAAAACTTTTGGCTTTGCTTGTCTTGGTTCTTTAGCTTTTAGTAAGGACTCTCCGTTTTAATACGTTATACCATTGTACCACCCACATGGACTAGAACTTTGCTACCCACTATATGACTCTCGGACCAGTAGCATTAGAATCGCCTAGAAGCTTGTAAATCTCAGAACCCAACTTCAGAATCTGCATTTTAGCAAAATCCCCAGTAAATTCTTATGTACATGACAGTTTGAAAAGCACTAGGTTAAAATATAAGCTTCATGAAAATGTGAGTTTGTATATATTTGTATATGTTGGTGCTATGGTCTGAATATTTGTGTGTGTTGGCGCTATGGTCTGAATGTTTCTTTATACCTCTGAAACGTATCTGATAGAATCCTCACCGCTAATGTGATGGTCCTAGGAGGTGGGGCCCTTGGGAGGTGATTAGGTCACTGGGGTACACCTTCAAAACTTGAATTAGTGTTCTCATAAAAGATGCCCAAGAGAGACTCATCACCTCTTTCCCCATCTGAAGACGCAGTGAAAAGACTGCTGTCCATGAAACAGTAACTGGATCATTCCTGGACATTGAATCTGTTGGCATCTTTATCTTGGAATTCCAGACTCCAGAACTGTGAGAAAAAAAAATACCTGTTTTCTACAAGCTACACTGTTTATGGTATTTTGTTATAACAATTTAAATGGACTAAGAAAATCTGACAGAAAATATATCTCTTTTTATTCATTATTCCCGTTAGATACTAGAGTTATCATTACATAGTCATACTCAATAATCATGCAGAAAGTGAATATAGAAAAAGGGGAAGGAATAAAGAAATAAATTTAAGGTAACTGTAGGCTATATATATATAGTCAGAAAGGTAAAGGAGCCTGATAAATTTTATTTAAAATGACTGAATTTGTAGAAAGGCTGAAGCTTATCAAATCAAACAAGAGTGAATAAGATTTTCAGTGCAATTTTTTAAGCAAATCCTATTAAACATAGCAGGATTTTTTTTTTTTTTTGGAAAAAGATGGGGTCTTGCTACATTGCCCCAGCTGGACTCAAACTCCTGGGCTCAAGTGATCCTCCCATGTCAGCCTCTTGAGTAGCTAAGAGTGTAAGCACTCACCACCAAGCCTCGCTGAATTATTATCTTATGACTAAAATACCTTTATTTAACTGTTACTTATGTATTTAATAAAACTACAAATCCAGTTTATATTTTATATATGTATGCTGTATATGTAAATGCTAACTTTATGCTATAATCTATTTTTTCCGTGATGAAGAAACTTAGAGCACTTGAAGTTTGATTTTTCTCTTACTTTGTTAAAGAGCTATCATCAGAAAAAAATGAATGATTCCTGCCGATATAAGTCACTCTAAGTGTTATTGGAAAAATTGAACAAGAAGATGTCAAATCTTAATTCCATTGAAGTTGTTTAATAGTACAGTGTGTTTAACCACTATAAGTTAAATAGTTTTTTTCTCATAATCACATTTTGTTTTGATATGTGTTCTGCAGTCAAATACTACTCTAATTCATTGTGAAATCGCATTGATGTTCTATTTGCTGACCCATTTTCCAGCATGACTCATCCACTTACAATTCTCTTTTCAAATTATTTCTATCAGGTTTCACCTATATCACTCTTTCAAACATATTCAGACAAATGTTCTTGAGTAGTTGATAGAGTTTAAGGTAATTCATTTGAGAATGAAGATGTGGATCCTATACTTAAAGTAGTGCACTATTTTGGACTCATGGGGAAGAAACTGCAATACTAACACATTTTTTGTCAGCAATGAAAACAAAGTGTTTTTTAAAAAATATAAAAATATATACTTTTTAAAAGTATAAATATTTATAATTATATAATAATCACACATTACTTATTTATCAATAATTATGTCCTTATTGCTTTTCAACCTTTTGAATCAACCTATAGCCAAAACACAGGTTAGCTAGTTATGACAAGGGAGTGAGGAAAAATGTAGAAAAGAGGTAAATAAGTTTCAAGTACAGTATTTAAAGGCATATAATGGAAGATATAAAACTGCATTACTGCACATTTTAAGGAAAGGGAAGAGAAAAAGTGGAGGCAGTATAAGTCAGCTAAATCCTCATCTTTCATGCAGATTCCATAGATAACCACTACAGTTAAAAGAAAATGTACTTAAAAATTTTTAGTCATTCTACGTTATTTTATTTTTAGTCTGTGACATATTACAAATATCTATAACGTAATAAAAATGTGCCACTTATATAATGCTAGCTAAATAATCAAATTAGTTTAGAAATATCCATGTATAAGTAAGGATATAAATGAATCTCAAAGAGTTGGTGGTGAGAAGTATTTCAGAGTTACAGTTCTATGTTATCTGAATTTCTTCTAATACTCTACCAAAGTCTTAGGACTAGATGTAGTTTTACATGAAAGCCCACCGTCAAATCTTTCCTGTGTGTTAGATACTGAATAAATATTTCCTAGATGAACAAAAGAATGCGTGGATAGAAAAAAGAAAAGGAAAAGAAGTGAAGGTAATGGAGAAAAAAGAAGTAAGCAAGAAACGGAGAAAGGAATCAGACAGGCTTGGAGAATTCAAGATAAACTTTCTTATTTTGTAATTTTTTTTCACTGTTATATAGAGGAAAATAATTTAAAACCTAGGTGAGGTGAGGAGGGATATAGTTGCTGCTTGTAGAGTCTGGCAGCAGAGCTCTGTAATGAACACGTATCTTCTCACTGCTGCCAAATGTTTTAAACATCAACATTAGAATGTTCATATACTTTATACATGCATACATTTGTTAAAAATGCTAAGCAATATTTTACTGAATCAGACCATGTTCCTCATGCTGGTTACATCTATCAGTTTGAATTGCTTTATTTTCTCACCTCAAAATTCCTGTTAAATATGTGGCAACTGTGGTGAATAGTTTCTTCATTCTTTACATTTTTGTTGCCCAGAAAATGTTCAAATGTTCACTTGATTTCTCATTTGAGTAAAAAAGTAAACACAAAATGACTTCAGTGAAAAAGTAAACATCTTTATATAGATGGTATATTAGTCAGGGTTCTCTTAGAGGGACAGAACTGATAGGAGATATATATATATATATAATATATATGTATACACACGTATAAGTATACACACACAAGTATATATATGTGTGCGTATATATATACATATATATGGGAGTTTATTAAATAATATGTATATAAAAAGGGGGAGTTTATTAACTATTAACTTACATGATCACAAGGTCGCACAATAGGTTGTCTGCAAGCTGAGGAGCAAGGAGAGCCAGTCCGATTCCCACAGCTGAAGAACTTCGAGTCTGATGTTCAAGGGCAGGAAGCATCCAGCAAAGGAGAAAGATGTAGGCTAGGAAGCTAGGCCCATCTCTTTGCTTCACGTTTTTTCCCCTGCTTTATATTTGCTGGCGGCTGATTAGGTCTTGCCTACCTGATTAAGGGGGGTCTCCTTCCCCATCCCCTGACTCAGATGTTAATCTCCTTTGGCAACACTCTCACAGACACACCCAGGATCAATACTGCATCCTTCAATCCAATCAAGTTGACACTCAGTATTAACCATCACAGATGGAAGGTTTTTATCAGGTTATATTGTCAAAATGAGAAATTATTTTCAATATGGAAAGCCAGAGAAAAGAGTATCTTTGAGAATTCTTTCCCCTTTGCTAGTCCTAGAAGTTTTGGTTTATTTAATTGTATTTGTGTTGAACTGAAGCCATCATTTACAATGATTTTCTACTTGTTTATGTGCTTAATCCTATGCCTAGCCTAGTGTATTTTCTTTTAATATTGTGATTGGATTTCAGCCACATCAAAGACAGTTCAACACCCAAAATAAGTACTTTGTTGCTATAGTAGGGCTACATTGATTTGGTATTAAATACATTCACTTGAATTAGTTTGTACAATTTATTTTCTACCCTGTGTATCACCTCTTCCTTAACCACAGGTTTGCAAATAAAAAGCCAAGGGAAAGACAAAATCATTGTTCTGTACTTAATTTATATATTCTAAGTATTCTTAATTTTTCTCATCCAAATTGTTTGCTTATAATTCATATTTACATTAACATATATTTTTACATGTAGGCTCTTGAATATATGAATTGACTTGCATTTTTATGTTTATATTTAATCAAGCACCTGTAGTGTGTTTGAGAGATGTAGAGGCTGATCCCTCAAAAGGCAAAATACACGGCCACAAGGAAGCAGTAACACATAACAAATTTTATTTAAACAGCACATTGACAGGATGACATGAAGGAGCAGAAGAAAGTCTATCATAGCACAAAAACTTCAAGAGGCATCAGTCTGGGGCCATGATCCAGAAGGCGAGGAGAACTCATAGGCAGCAGAACTCACAGGTAGAAAGATTGGAGCGAGAGCTCATATATTTTGATGGGAAGTCTTTGGGTCAGAGTATTCCAAATGACGTATAACAGGCTTAGGTCTATTATAACCCCATAAATTATTTTATCTATGGCTAGCAGATGTTGGGTGCAGTTTGGCTGAGTATGCAAAGCAGGCAGACTCTAATGGCTTAAAAATTTTGTTTAAAGAGGCTATATTTAAAGCAATTGGATTGTTGACATTTTGAGTTTGGTATCAGTGGGCTTTTAAGCCCACCATAAACAGAAGGTCAACATACTAGAACCATCTTTAACCCATTTATATAACAGCACACATAAAAGTAGTTGGTACATAATAAAGCTTCAATATTTAATTGCTGCCAAAAGTAAATTGTTAATTATAAATCAGAAAATCATAACTATGCCTTTTATGATTATAAAAGAATCTGATTTTATTCAATTGAATTCTTTTCAGCTATAATATTACAAAGGAAAGGAAACTATTAGGAAAAAGAAAAAAGTATGAAATGTAAATATCATTTTAAATGGTTTAGGTCTTTGAGAAATGTCTAAGTTTCAGACGTTGTTTACCATAATTGTTCTAACTGAATGAAAATGATGAAAATAGCATTATATTCCTGTGCTTTAAAAAATGAGGTCAAAGCTTGGCACAGTGGCTCATACCTGTAATTCCAGCACTTTGGAAGGTCAACATGAGAGAACTGTTTGAGCCCAGGAGCTCCAGACAAGCCTGGGCAGCATAAGGAGGCCCCGTCTCTAAAAAATTAAAAATTAGCTGGTGTGGTGATGCAAGCCTGTAGTTTCATCTACTCCGAAGGCTGATGTAGGAGGACTGCTTGAGCCCAGGAGTTCTAGAGTGTCATAAGTGGTCATGCTACCGCACTCCAGTCTGGATGACAGAGATCCTGTCTCAAAAAATAAAAAGTGAAAATAAAAATTCAGGTGAAACTTTCATTTCCTCTCTATTTAATACTTAGATTTCTCAACTAAAAATCCTACTACTGAGTATCTATCCAAAGAAAAAGAAATTGTTTTATCAAAAAGACACCTGCACTGGTAAGTTTATTGTGGCACTATTCACAATACCAAGTCATGGAGTCAACCTAAGTGTCCAACACTGGTGGATTAGATAAAGAAAATTTAGGACATATACATCTAGGAATACCACACAACCATAAAAAATGAAATCCTGTTCTTCACACCAACAAGGATGCAGCTGGAGAACATTATCCTAAGTGAAATAACTCAGAAACAGAAATCAAATACCACAAGTTCTCACTCATAAGTGGTAGCTAATCAATGGGTACACATGAACAGAAAGATGGAAGCAAAAGACCCAGGGAACTCCAAAAAAAAAAAAAAAAAAAAAAAGTTGGAACGGGTATGAGGGTTGAAAAACTATGTAGTAGGTGCTATGTTCAATATTTGCATGATGGATTCACTAGAAGCCCAAACCCCAGCATTACATAATATACCCCCTGAACTTGTACCTCCTGAATCTTAAAAAAAAATAAATAAATAAAGTAGTATCAATGGAAATTAAGACCACAAATATTTAAGTTCCAAATCTTACAGATAACTGTACAAGATTACTATTACACTATGTAAAGATAACTATTACAATATGTATTCTTTTAAGATTACAATATGTAGTTTTCTTAAAGATTCAATAAAATTTATGACTAAATTGCTTTTCTGTATATAAAGATTCATTTGTTCACAATAATTAAGGGTTTTCAGTCTATCAAAATGTTATAATAAATTTATTTCATCAAAATTTTTGTTTTTCTCCATTTCAGCAATCATGAGCCTGTTTTCAAATACAATTTAGGGGATTTCTCTTTAATGCTAACATAAACTTTGGTTCTATATGAAGGTTTTCTGTCAACCGTCAGTTTTTCTTCTCCACCGTTCGATCATATGTCTTTGTATTTAGTGCGACATGAGATTCATAGCTTGTATAGTATCATTCTTTACAATTGTTTTTTGTATTGATAGATAAGGACTGGCTACTACCATTTTTTTTTTCTGGTGGTTTTGTTTGTCTTCTCCTCCTTCCTTTCCCTCTTTCTTTCCTTCCTGTCTTTCTTTGGGTAAAAGTGACTTTTTTCCTGGTAGTATGTTTTAATTTCTTGATTTTTATTTTTTGCTATTAACTGCTATATATTTTATGTAATTTTTATAGGAAGACTATAACTAGAAATTTTAATTATGTCAGGATTTTTTTCTATTCCTAGACCAATGGCAAGATATAGCAATATTAAATACCATTTAAGTTTTTTAACTGACGTATTCTGATTAAAAATAGTAATAATCCGTAGCATTTTTACATGTACACCTAAGATTTCTTTGACATTTTAACTCATAAGAAAATTGCATATTTAATTTTATCTAAATAACCATAGTCTTCACATTTCTTTAAGAATTTTAATGACCTAAGATAACATGCAAAGTAACTTTGCAATAATCTAATACAACACATTTTATATTTTGAGAGGACTTACTCTAAATTTCTGGATCCTAATATAACATCTAAATATAACATCTTGCTCAATAAATAATATAACATCTTGCTCAATCTAAAAAATTTTATCTAGTCATAATGCAGGGCCAATTGTGTCCATTCAAAGTGAAAATAGAAATAAAACATTTATTCGTCTTGATTCTTGGTTATTTTAATCTCATGGGGTGTGTAAGCCATTTTCTGGTCTTTTTTTATGGTGATGAATGAAATGAAAAATTAATGCTATGAAATTCCATAAACATGTCTGTCTCTTTTTGGAGTTCACTATATCGCATTTGAATCTGTAGGATCCCTCAACTAACTCATTTCAAAGATATTTCAAAGATGTTCCTTCTCTCAGTATGTACTCTACCTAATAATCCTCCAGAAAGTCTGATAAAGCCAAATACATACAAATTCTGACATTTATAAGTCTACAATACATGTTTTCAATTAATCCAAAGAAAAGAAATAAAAATAGCCTTAGTGCTATAATATCTAGTTATATTTTATAAAATGCACTCCCAATGATAAACTCTATTGAGTTACTTTATCAAATCAGTTATATATTATCTATAGTTTAAAATATATTATCATGTAATACATATTATTTTAAATGTAGTTTTATAAACTTGTTTTTGTGTATCCATATAAAATATGCACAATATTAAAATCCACTTGTAATGGAACACATTTTGTCATGTACTTTTAATTTTTAATTTTTATGGGTACATAGTAGGTATTTATATATTTGTAGGGTACACAAGCTATTTTGATGCAAGCATACAATGCATAATAATCACATCAGGATAAATAGGGTATTCATCACCTCAAGCATTTAGCATTTCTTTGTTTTACAAACATTCCATTATACTTTTAATTAAAATATACAATAAATTATTAACTGTTGTCACTCTGTTGTGCTATCAAATACTAGACCTTATTCATTTTATCTAACTATGTATTTCATGAGAGCACATGTGAATCTCTTCCACCAGAAACAATAAAAATGGATCAAAAGGGAATATTCAGTAATTAACTTGTCTCAGTGAGTATATGCTCAATTCAAGTTGGGCCTTTTATTTAACTTAGAATAGCTGATACTTTTTTTATTTAAAGTTATTTGCTATATATTAAAAATATAATTAATATTGCATTAAATATATTCAATAGTTTTTATTGCATAGCTGCCATAAAAAAATGTTTTTTAATTAGGCATAATTGGCTCTAAAAATCAAAATGCAATATTGGCAATAACTACGAAGGACATTATATATAAAATGAGAGCAATATAACTTCTATGTATAAAAGGATATAGTAAGATGAAAAAGTATAGTTGAGATTTTACATTCTTGTAATGTAGATAACAGTGTTCTTATTTCTTTATGACCCATGAGTCCTTATAATACATTCTTTTTCATGTATTTCATTTATTTTACTTCATTATTCTCTCACATGTTCTCACAGTATTCTCTCTCACTGCTAACAACCAAAATATAGATTAGAAATAAACTGTGTGGTCCAACACCTAATATATAGTTTATGCATAAAAACTTGAATGGAGATGTGTTAGTCTATATCATTCTAGATTTACATCCTACTTGAAGTGATGACATGTAATGGGAATACATTCTCTGATCCTTTATGACTAAAGAGAAATAAGTTGCCAATCAGCAACATGCTACATAAGCACTCATCTAACAAAAGTTTGGGAAAATAGGTGTAAATATTTCCTATGTTCAAAAAAGGAGAAGAAAAAGCAAGTAAGAAAAATGGTAGTTAAATTTCAACAAAAATGTTGTTCAATATTTCCTTCCTAGGAAAATACTGTCTGTAACTTTTGATTACAATGAGAAAAAATATTTGATTTTATTTGTTAATTGGGCTGTACAAAAGTCTGCTTACTTATTAAATTTTTCTAATTTTATGACTTGATGAATATAAATTTTAAAACAACCTGATCTATTCTCAGAAATTTAATTCAAGTATTGTTTATTTTCCAATAAAGGATGTGAATTTTCAGTGCTCTCCTCTGCTCTTCTATATGTCATATTTAATTTCATTTCTGTTTTCTATTTCCTTGACTGCATTTATCAGTCCAGTGCTTGATACAGGCAAACAGCCCTGACATTTAAAGCAGAAGAGCTTGAATACCATGAACTTGGCATTCAGAATTACATTTTCCGGCTGGAAATTGCTGACCCTAACATCTTTCTAAGCATTAAACCATTTATTTAGAAAATCTTATCAGAAAGCAATATTTACTTCTTTGAATCCTATCCTGTTTTCAAACAGTACAAACTAATACCAACTAAATATTTTAGTTATAGCATTATTTAAACACAGACTTATGTGGTTCAAAACAATAAAACATTCATTTTCATTTAGTTAACTCTATACTTGCAAAGATATTACTATTTTTTCAAGTAAATGTAAAATTATAATATGCCTAGTTTAAATTAATTCATTTATTTAGGAATATGCACATTTAGGGTATTCAACATTCTCAAAATTAAAGAAACCATTGTTTTTGCCACCATGTGATAATGTTAGATATTATCATCCAATTTTATATGCAACAGCAAATGTTATGTTTGCTGTTTAAAAATTATTTAAAGGATCCAATTATGAAGAAACAATTATGTTCAACAGGTGAAGTGAATTACTTTAATTTACTAGAGATAACTATTTAGTTTGTCAAGCACTCTATAATCAAACAAATTCATGCTTTAGGTGAGAAAATGTAAAATGTAATGAACATGAAGGAAAGCTTTCTCCCATCTGTTCCTACTTTTTGTTGTTGTTGTTATAATGTATAAATGTGAGAGATCTGTCTAGTGAAATGCAGAAGAAAGTAAAATTTGTGACTACACTTATTTAAAATTACTAAATGAATTTTACTACATAACCTAGACACATTAACTCTATGAATGCATTTTATTTAGAATTACTGAATGTATTGAAATAAAATAATATATATTCAAAATCAAAATAATTATTTTATAAAATATGCAGACTATATTTGTACTGCACTGAGGGAACAAAAGCATTTTTAAACAGCAAGCTTCAGTTTTAAAGATAGTACATTTTCTTCTGCTGGGTGGTAATACATTTATTCTGTTCTTAAGCTTTTCTGGAATTTAAAGCAGTGCTTATATATTAATTTAGATCCTTTACAGTGAATTAGAGGACCAACTTAAGAATTTAAGTATAATTAAAAGTTTGTCATAATCAGTAATAAGATAATATCACCCAAATCCTACTCCCTTTTTTTTTCAGGGGTCTCAAAACACTAGTAGGACCAGATGACTATTTCTATGATGTGTCTCTCTATTCAGATGTCTTGTTACCTCCCAAAGTAAGGCCCCTAGCCCGGCAGCATCAGGTCACCTGGGCACTAGCTAGAAATGTGAACTTTTAGGCCTCAGATGATTGTGATACAGGCTTAATTATGAGAACCACTGGCTTAGAACAGTTTCTACCATTCTTCTGTAATCATTCCCAAATATAGCTCTAAAAATTTCCCTGAGATATTTGAATAACCATAAGTTACTTCTTAGAATCACAGTTTCTCTTAGAAAAACAAAACAAAAAAAGCTTAATTGTCTCAAAAATTAATTTGTTACATTCTATGATAAACCTACACATGAGTTTTCATTTTATTTTGTTGTACTTCAGATGCTAGTACAGGTTCATGCCATGTAAGTGTCATAGTGAGAATATGATTTTTACTTACACTGAGATTCAAGCTATGACACTGTTTATTAGCAGTCTGACCTGAAAGTTCTCCTAATAGTACTTTTCCAACTAATAGAAAGGAAATAATGATATCCAAGGGTTTTTTGAAAATTAAGTAATTCTTGCAAATTGTTTGGAACAATACAGGTGACCAATATGTGATCGTCCTTTTCCTATGTTTTTCTACCTATAACTTCTCCCTTTTCTTGCAAATATTTGTGTTTAATTACAAGCTGAGCCCCATCTTTCTAAAAGGTATAGCTTAATTCCAGCAGCCTTCATAAGTATAAAGTATGCCTTTGGTTATCGCCCTCTGAATATGTAGCACTTCCTCAAATTCTCCTATTTTATCCAATTATATTCATACATGTATGCAAATTTGCCTGGTCTATTTTGTTTTTCTATGGAAGTATCAGAACTCGAGAGTAGAAAGTATCATTAGCTTTCCCTCTTCATGCCACATTGTCTAGTTAAAAGCTTCCCAGGTGTCATGCACTTGTTGAGAGCAGACTACCTCCTCTTACCTGTACAACATTCTTTTCATCTTGGAAGAAAAAAATACTTAGGCATTGTGATAATTTGTCCTTCATTTAGTTCTACATTAATACAATTTCCAAATACTAATTTTACTTTTTAAATTTTAATTACTACTTTCATTCTGCTTTCACAAAGATCAAAGTTATTTTTCTTACCTTGGTTTAAGTTTTTAGTAAACCTGAATAAATTATTAACCATGCACTTTTTTTGTGTGTTCTACAAAATCAAAAAACTTTGCCACTAAAGCTTATTTATTGCCTGTCACACATACTTGAAGATATTTTCTTATTCCACAATTTTCTGAAGTCATATTTAATATTGTCAGTGACTGTGTAATCTAACGTTCCTTTTTCTCTTTAGTTCCAACTTTACATTATGTTCTATTGGACTTAATAGTAAAATGGTTTTCTGTCTCATATTTCCTAATGTCTATTTTTTCCTTCAGGACCATTTTTATGGCCTGGATTCACTCACTATTTCAGTCATCTCCAATACATATTAAAGCAGAAATCCATTAAATAAGTACAGAGGACACTTGAGAGGGTTTTCTTGAATTTTATGATCAAGAAAATAATGTCTAAAATTTCAAGAAATATATTCTTGTGAAATAAATCCATGTACTATGTTCTGTTATTAAATACTTTTTCTTTTGCAACATTATTCTGAGTATATAATTAAGAACAAAAAAGCAGATACAGCTAATCATCACATAATTGACAAAAATAAAAGAAACACATATATGTAATAAGTTTCTCTAAAAAAAGCTAGAGAGCATATAGAGAGCATATTGAAAGATTGGGTTCTTAATTACATGCTAACAATGAAGATTTATCAAGAAATACATAGAACACACAGTCTTCCACAATGGTTGAACTAGTTTACAGTCCTACCAACAGTGTAAAAGTGTTCCTATTTCTCCACATCCTCTCCAGCACCTGTTGTTTCCTGACTTTTTAATGATCACCATTCTAACTTGTGTGAGATAGTATCTCATTGTGGTTTTGATTTGCATTCCTCTGATGACCAGTGATGATGAGCATTTTTTCATGTGTGTTTTGGCTGCATAAATGTCTTCTTTTGAGAAGTGCCTGTTCATATCCTTCGCCCACTTTGTGATGGGGTTGTTTTTTTCCTATAAATTTTTTTGAGTTCTTTGTAGATTCTGGATATTAGCCCTTTGTCAGATAAGCAGATTGCAAAAATTTTCTCCCATTCTGTAGGTTGCCTGTTCACTCTGATGGTAGTTTCTTGAAGACAGTGTGGCGATTCCTCAAGGATATAGAAGTAGAAATACCATTTGACCCAGACATTCCATTACTGGGTATATACCCAAAGGATTGTAAATCATGCTGTTATAAAGACACATGCACACGTTTGTTTATTGCAGCACTATTCACAATAGCAAAGACATGGAAACAACCCAAATGTCCATCAATGATAGACTGGATTAAGAAAATGTGGCAAATATACACCATGGAATACTATGCAGCCATAAAAAATGATGAGTTCATGTCCTCTGTAAGGACATGGATGAAGCTGGAAACCATCATTCTCAGCAAACTATCACAAGGACAAAAACCAAACACCACATGTTCTCACTCATAGGTGGGAAATGAACAATGAGAACATTCGGACTCAGGAAGGGGAACATCACACACTGGGGCGTATCATGGGGTAGGGGGATGGGGGAGGGATAGCATTAGGAGATATACCTAATGTACATTATGAGTTAATGGGTGCAGCACACCAACATGGCACATGTATACATATGTAACAAACCTGCACATTATACACATGTACCCTAGAACTTAAAGTATAATAAAAAAAATAATAGAAAAGAAAATCCAAACACACAAAAAAAGAATTACATAAAACAAAATACTTCAAATGATTTGGACTGTCACTATATTGCTTTTATATCAGTCAATACAAATTTCTGTAATAATGACATTTGAACAGATTCTGAAGGAAGTGTGCAATTGAGCCATGTGAATATCTAGAAAGAAAACATGTTGGGTGAGGGGAGAGCAATTGCAAATGCTCCGAATGGAGTATGCCTGTTGAAACTGTAGAAGTACAAAGAGGCAAGAGTGTCTGAAAGGCAGTGAGCAAGTGAGGATATTGGGAAATGAGATTCAGCAGATAGCAGGTTCTAGCTCATGAAATTCCTTAAAGACATAAGGACTTTGGAATTTGACTAAGATTCAAAATTATTAGAAGGTTTCGAGTAGAGCCATGACATGATGTTACATATATTTTAGTAAGATTATATTAGGAGAGAATAGGTTTAAGGGCAAACTGGAGGCAAATGGATCAGTTATGAAAACTGATTCAAAGGTAAAAGAGAAGATGATCATGGAAGAACCTGGTGGTAGTGATGTAAACTGTAAGTAGAGACTAGTTTTTGAATAAATTTCAAGGAAACATCAACAGGATTATTTTGTGGAATAGATATGAAATGAGGAGATTCAAATATGACTATAAGTGTTTGGCTCAAGAAAAATATGGACTTATTTACAGAGAAGAATCCAGGAAAGGGAAGTTGTTGATCCAGATGTGGGGGGTTGGGCAGGTGGTAAGTATTCAAGTTTTTTACATATTCTGATAAGATGTCCATTTTACATATATTATAAATAAAGATGTAGAGTTTTCAATTAGCTATGTTAGTGTGGACTTGTGAAGTAAAAGCTGATTCCTAGGCTGTATGATAATTATTTTAAACACAATTATTAGCCCTCCATTATTTAAGTGGGTTACCAGTTTAGAATATTTATTTTTAGGGCTTAGGAGTCCTGAATTTTGAATATAAAATTATTTTGCATATCAAGACATCCCGAGAGTTCTTTACAAATGCCAAGTGAATGAAATAGGAACCCAATTAGTCCCTGAATGTGACAGACACGTAGAAGTAGGCCCTCCCTAAAGAAGCTGTCAGGCTTTTTAAAAATGAGAAAAGACCCATCATACCAAGTATTTTTTCCTATTTTTGTAGAAATTCTGAAAGTAGAAAAATGTGTACTAAGTCAAAAATAAATTAGGCAAGTCTGTTTATTCTACCACTGTATCTACTATTATAAATGAAACCTGGTGAGTAATTAATACACTTAGCAGAATGATTATTTATGTCCTGAAGCAAACACATTTCAATGTTTTAAATAACGCACAGAGAAAAATCACATGATTTCTCTGTCAAATGCCACCTTTCTGATATCAAAATAGTTAAATTTTTATACAAATATGATTATAACTTTTCTTAGAAATATTTCCAAGTTTGTATGCCATCTTGTACTAGATATATGTAAGCTCATTCTATAAATTTTAAGTATGTATATGTAATTTTCTAAAATATATTCATGGTATGTCTTTGATCCTTGCATTCAGTATATCAGAGTGTACAATGTGGAGCTATCCTGTACCAATAATTCCATTGTTACCTTATTCCTATCTATAAAACATATTAAAATCTGTTTCTCCAACTGTATGCAGCCAATGTAACTTCCATAATAAGATAAATATTGTCAAACATCAACCCGTCATGTTATAAATTATAGTGGCAAACTTCAAATGGTGTTCCTTACATTTTTCAGATAATCTCGTTAAATTACATTGAATAAATGTTCTACTTAGCTGCTTGGAAAAGTGGTACAGAATTTTTAAGTCTACTTATCTCTGTTTTACACATTATGAAAAGATTTTTAAAGGTAGATACATTTTGTTTTGACTTAATTTGAACATGTATATCTAGATATAAAACATCTAAATAAGAATATATACATTTATAGATATAAACAATACCATAATCCTGATATAACTTGCATTTCAGCTTATACTTACAAGTTCTGTATCTTTTACTGAACTCTAAAGTATTGCCTTAGAAGATGTATGATTCATCAGTTTTGGGACTCTGCATTATATATGCCTAACTACAGTTCAAACTTAGAGGACGTTTGCAACATATTTTATGTTTTGAATTTTAGCTCAAATTCTATTCATGGATGATACATGTTTGCTTATGAATTAATAAAATAAAACTCATTTACGTGCAGCCATTCAGTTCTACCATGGTTGTTCGATCACAATTTGCATTTCTAATTAATCATATTTAAGCACATAGTGAAAAGCCTAGCCATGTGTATTAAAGTCAGGTTTGTGAGTCATATTATTCTATAGGGCGTACATGGTTATTCTTTATAAGGGAAGTCAATTGCACAAAATTTTCAACTTAAAGAATAAAAAAGGAAATATATCTTCAACTATATTTAGATATCCATACCGTATTCTCTCCTTTGAGTCTTAACTGAATCTCAAGTAAAGAAAATCAGCATTTTCAAATGGAAAAGTACCTGTTAATATCCGAATAGCATAACTTTAAACTTTCAAAGTAAATTATGTAAATATACGACAGCTAAATGTGTGGCTATTTTTTCAAAAAGAGTAGAGCCAATGATTCAAGATATAGACACTATTTTCTAGTTCATATTTTTGTTAGTTTTATGCTAATTAGAGATGAAGACCTTAATGCTAAAATTTTGTATTTAAAAATTCCCTCACTTTACACTGAATATTTATGATACATTTTTTCTTGTAAATCTGTGTGTGTGTGTATGTGTGTATATGTAGACAGTAAAATATATATACATTGCTGTTGCTCTTTTACGTTTCTTTGGCTGTTCCTCAACTAGTTTTATATATCTGTTGACTACTTAGTTATCCTTCTAAGAAATAAGTTGCTTAAGGAAACTTCCTGTATTCTAAGACCACGAAGTATGTTATAATTTATTCTAATACCTTTATAATACTGTTTCTTAAATTTCTTTAACTGCTTTCAATTTATTGACATTAAGTCATTCAGAATATTCCATTATTACACTTTTATCTTTAGTGCCCATCTTATCTTTCATTCCTCATATCAGTGGGAGTTTTGGGTTTTGTTTCCCCCCAGTTTTGCAGGTCAAATAAGGACTCATACTAAGCTGTCCTTCTATTTCAGTTCTAGGGAGACCATAATAAACTCATTACTGCCAAATATCCCTGAACTCCAGTCTGGTTCCTGCTTGATCCATGCTGTTCTTTACAATCATTACCTTGTTTGTGGTAGTTAAGTGCTGCCCCCAGAACTCTGCTTTTCTGGGAGCTCCTACTAACAATTACAGCAGGTTGCCCTTTTTAATGGTAATGTCAGCTATTCTTCTATTGTCAGCTATTATAAATATTTTTGAGGATTTGTGAACTCCTTCACCAATGGATTTTCCCATGCCCTCTCAGTACTAAAGGGATGAGTAAGTGAGTCAAACATAATAAATTTACTTTAGCATTTCTAATGCCCAAAGACTTTGGATTCATGTCTCTGCCTCAGGAAAAGAAGATCCTGGCATCTTAACCTGTTTAACATAGGCCACAAGTTTATTCCAATTTCCCATAAACCAATCAAGAATGTGGTTAGCAGCCCTCACAGCCATTTATGCAAGAACACAACGTCCTGATCCTCTGGAAGTGCAAATGCATCTTTCTGACCTAACATTACAGAGGCATTTTTTCGATCTGGACCTCAGAGATTTCTATACTGAGTTTTAGATAACATTATAATGTATTACTAAATATTTATTAGTAATATTGGCAATATGTCCTCTATTATTCATTTATATTTTTACATTTGTTTCAAGTCAAAATCATAAGAGTATTGAGATTAATGCCATCATAAAGCTGAGTGAGGCGGTGTCAAAAGATAAATTCATGTTTCTGGCTGTTAATATCAATGTGAAGATATGCTTGATGTTGGCATAATCTTATCTGCCTTTCGGCACAGTGCTGTCTTTGGATTCTCACCTTCCCCGACTTCTTAGTTTCAAATTTGTCTTCGTAATGTGTTTCTTCCTTCAATCCAGATCCTGCATTTGATTACTGAGATTTTTGTCTTGTTAAATGTTGCTATCCTCTGGGACACAACCTCTAGATGCCCACTGGTTCACAGGTATTTTATCTTGCTTTTTCTTAGTAACAGGAAAAGTGTATTGGATTAAACTTTTATGTGGATGTGTACTTCTTAAGCCTTATGTTCTTGCATTAACTTCCTCTTAATGTCAAATCTATAGTTCAACTGAGATGGATTTGCTTAACACTCATTCAAAATAGCATCTGGATAAGTCTCCCTGTACTTTTATTTCCTCTGAAAGAAATAATCATTAGATTGGGTTTACTACCCAGGAATATAAGTCAGAAGTTGACATAAAACAACAAAACCCTAATAAATGCCAGTGCATTTTAATCCATTTGTACTACTATAACAAAATATCAGAGACTGGCTAATAGGTAAAGAAGATAAATTTATTTTCTCACCATTTTGGAGGCTGGGAGATCCAAAATCAAGGTGCTGGTAGGCTCAGTTATGTGGTGAGGGGCATTTTCTGTTTCCAAGATTGCATCTTTCTATGTCCTCTGAAGGAGAGAAAAGCTCTATCCTTATATAGCACTAGGCAGAAGAGCAAGAGAGCCAAAGGCTACATGAAGTCTCTTATAAGATCTTTAATCCCATTCATGAAGGAGAAGCCCTCAGGGCTTAGTCACCACTTAAAGGCCCTCACCTCTCTTTTTTTTTTTCTTTAGTTTAAAATGAAGAAAGATAAAGTTTATTCTAAAAGTGAATTCCAAAAGTAAGGAATATGGGAATATAAAATATTAGAACAGCTTTTAAAATGTATTATAAGGAAACACAATACTGATATAATATTCAGCGCAAGTTAAAAAATTCAAGTATAAATTATGTTTCATGTTAGTTTAAAAGGATAACATATTAACACATTTATTAAGAGAGAACCTATGAAAAAATAAGGAAGAACTAAGAGTATGGCTAGTAACAGGCCACAGTATAGAAATTCAAGAGAAATGAATGAAGGGATTGCAGTATTCCAGGGGAATGGGTAGTATAGAGTTTGAATTCTCTGAAGAAAAAAAAAGCAGGGTGGTGGGATAGAAGGTGGGGCAGAGAATTAGGCCAGGAAAATTGAAAGGAAGGTGTTCAACAGGTACTACAAAGGAAGCCTTATTATGATACTTAACACTTAAAGCTAGTTCTACAACTGTGGAGAAGCTGGTAAAATGGCTTATAGGAAGGAGTATATAAACAATGCAAATGCTTAGAATTGAACTTATGATTATTAAAATAAGCCATTTAGAAAGTTCATAACAAAAAATTAAGTGCTTTATATTCTTTAAACAATCATGTTCTTAAAAACAGTATAAAAGAAAGAAGAGATGAGTGTTGTATCGGTCTGCCCTTATTTGATTTGCCTAAAGAAAATCTAAAGTATTATGTCCATTATGTTAATCTGATGACTTATCTGGGGAGAAGATATTCACTGTAATGTATTGTTTTTTCCTTTTCTTAAAAGGTTAACATTTTCGAGGTCCAACCCTCAGACCCTGACCTGGCGACACATGAGAGACCTACACTGACACAGATATTTTGCCTGTCAGTCTGGCTAAGAGGCTCTGCTCTGAGTCTGGAGCATTGCCCAGATAAGCCAGCCAAATTCGTATTTATTTAGTTAGATTAAATGACAAAGACTTTGAGTCAATACACCTGTGGGTAATTAACCTGGTTGCCCTCCCCCCAAGAGAGCCATCCTGCCTGCCAATGATCAAAGGTTAGTCTTAGCAACACATGAGTAAACAAGTTATTTAGATAAACTCCCTTACATTATTTTGTACCTACTTTAAGCTATCTACTCAAGGTAAAGATTAGGCTGCCTTCATGCCAGATCTATTACTGAAGCTATGCAAACCTTCCAGCCTTCCAAGGTTTGTGTCTATATTCTATAATTTCATCTTACAATGTTTCTAACCACACTGACTGATCCCCTACAAACATGATATCTGAAAAGACATTAATAAGCTAGAAAAGCTATGAATGATGCTTATCAAGATAACAAAATCTTAGACATAAATTAGCTAGTACAAAAGTTAGGCATGCATTTAAAAGAAAGCAGATTAAGAAGATGGTTGAAGTCCATCAAAATTATGAAAGTACATGTCATAAGATGGTAGAGAAAGTAAAGCTAAACAAAACGATTTGAATGGGAATATAATTGGAACTAGAGAAATTTACAGAGGGCAAAAAATTACCTTATTGAGAATCGTTAAAGTTAAGAGTAACTGTACATAAAATTAGTGTGAAGCTAGGACGTGAGAAGTCTTGTGAAAACCCATGAAGAGGTGGAGGACACCTGAATACTAGAAGTCAAAGTGAAAAGAAGGCCCATTGGCTGGCATGCAGGAGATGTCCAATAAATACTTGCTGAAAAAATGAAATCAGTTCCAGGACATGCTCAGCCCAGGGTCAACAGATGGGAATCTCTTGTGGTTAGAATGTAGTGAATAGGTTAATTGATAGTAGGCAGAGATAAAATCAGATTATAACGAGTAGGAAATAGGTAGAAGGAGGGGAGCAAAGGGGCAAGCTGGCAGCACTGGAGGTGGGAACAATCAGGAAAATCCCTCATGAACCCTAGAAAAAGAAAGTTATAATTAGTTTGAGATACAACACATGTCATATCAAAATCTGAGCTGGAAACTTTGCTGCCTTTCCTGCACTTGTAATTCTATAGTCTTTCTAAACAACTGTAAATACTTTTGCCAAATGAATTGGGAAGAAAAATATGTTGGTGTAATCAGTTCGCCGTAAAGATATTTGTAGATAAAGCAAGAAGTACACTGTGAACGTGTTTCTATGTTTCTATATGGAGACCCTGATATGAGAATGAGTAGGACTGTGGGCTGTTAAGACAACAACCTGGTAACCTTCACATGTAGGTATGTAGGAAGTAGTATTTGTCCTCTCCAGTTGAGAGTAGGACTAATAATCCTGTCTACTTCTGACTTATTAATTTTAAATGGTTTCAACCAAGAGAAATGTAACAGCCTTTCAAAATGTTTTCTCTGTTATCACAGCTTTGGTGTTATCTGTGGTATGAATCTATTCAACACCAGCAGCAAAAATGAAACCCTAATTTAGTATTGAAATTATATGGGGTCAGGCATGGTGGCTCATGCTTGAGACCAGGAGTTTGAGGTTATAGTGAGCTATGATGCATTCCAGCTGGGCAACAGAACGAGACCCTGTCTGTGAAAGGGGGGCGTGGGGCGGGGGAAAGAGAGACAGAGAAAGGAAATAAATAAATAAATAAATAAATAAATAAATAAATAAATAAATAAATAAAACAGCTCTTTGCTCTGCAGTTACACTGCCTTTCAGAGGTCTGTATCTACAACTGAACCACCTAGATAGGAAGACTGAAAACATCCAAAAACTACACAGAACAATGATCTACAGTGTACATTTGCTTTGGATATAGACTGAACTTAAGGTGAAGGCTTAATGAGTATAAAAACTGGCTAATTATAGTACTATATTGTTTTGAGGAGTTTTGTTTGTGTTTTCTTTTTTTCTCTGTAGAAGGTAGAATGTGATCTAAACCTTGAAAGATGTGTTGGGTGAATTTTTTTCTTTGTTTATTATACCTTAAGTTCTGGGATACATGTGCAGAACATGCAGGTTTGTTACATAGGTATACATGTGCCATGGTGGGATAACATTAGGAGAAATACCTAATATAGATGATGGGTTGATGGGTACACCAAGGCCCTCACCTCTTAATACCATCACACTGCCATTAAGTTTTAACACCTGCATTTTAGAGGGAACACATTCAAATCATAGCAGTGTTTCCAAATAGTACTGTCCAATATAACCAGAAGGTACAAATTGATTAACAAAATCCTTTGAAAAACTTTTAATATATTTAAAAACTGTATTAAAAAGATGACTTAGTCCCAATATTTTGAGTGTACTTATTACACAGATCAAAATGCATTGAAATTTTAAAAAAGAAAAATCAGAAATAACATATGGCCTTTGGATAGCAACAAAAGCACAATTCAAAGTAATTAAAATCCTGACTATAGATGTTATTTAGGACACAGTTCCCTTTATCTGTTGAAGTTATCTCCTAGACATATTTAAATCCTGAGTTATTCCATCCTGTACGTAGATAAGGCAGGAAAAATTCAGGTGCTATCCTAATAAAAAGACACATTGATGTTTATTAATGCCTTACATTTGAATGATGAGTGTGTGGCTGAAGCTTTCTGAATGTGGCTTCTTTTCATCCAGAAACTTAAAAATGAAAGACAAGTTATGCGTCCCCATACACCCAAATATAATGGTGAGACAAGAATTGCAAAACTTATCTGTACATATTTGCAAGTAATTATACTGGGCACAATTGCAATGCCATGAAATTTTACAGTGTGTACTCACATAAGGTTCTAATAAATGTAAAGAATATGGTTCAGCTGCAGACAGAAAGCTTAAGCAAATATGGAGAGGTCCCAGTGCCTCAGGTGCAGCTCCTAGAGAACTTTCTCAATTATAGAAAATATGTTTTGTGTTTGGACAGTGAATTCTCAGGATATTTCTAAGATACATTAGTCACAAAAGCCAAGGTTCAAGTTTACTGGGGGATCTTTTATACCCCATTAGTAGCATAACGAATATCCTGCTCTATAACCAAAGTAGGTTTTAATGATCGGTATATACATTTTCAGTAACAAACTTGACAACTTACGTATCCCAGTAGGGAATTTTCAGACTTTAAACAAATATAAGCCGTTGTCTAGTATGTTTCATCCCTATCTTGGCCAAAGACAAGTACTTGAGTTCCAGGCATTTCTCGCTATCACTATAGAGCTACCATAGACTATATTCATATTAATCCTACCCACTTCAAAAATAAAAGAACAGTAAGCACATAGCAGTCCCTGATCCTGCTGCAGTACAACTATTTTCAGTTCTCTGAAAAAGGAAATGTGTTTTCATTAGGGCCTGGTTCTTCTTCCTGAGAGTTCATTTCTATTACATTATTCTCTCTTAATATAGCCTGCATTCTCTCAGATCTTGTTTCTGCCCTCGGAAACATATTTTTATTTTCCATAAGAAATTGTGCGTATTTGCAGCATTTTTTTTCTTAGCCTGCAAAAATTTAGAAGCTCAGAAATCTTTTGGCAATATGAATAATCACAATTCCATTTAGCCCAGGCTGATGGCTTTTGGCTGATACAACTTTCATACAATATTTGTGGGATTTCTATGTATCAGAAATCTTATCACCTCATGTGACAAAATCCACATCCACAACTGTTTCCTAGACAGACTGATTTCACTTCTGAGTGGCTTGTCAAACAGCTTAAGAACAATTCCCATAAGATTCTTTGAGCTTCTTTAGTGTTTGTGGTTGTTGTTATAGACCTAATGCATCATCTACTAGGTACCGCCTTAAATCTTCCAGCGTTCTTGAGGTTCTGGCAGCCACATCCTTAATTTGAGCTTTGGCTCCAGGCCTCATATTGCTTTAAGGATACATTATTAGCAGAGAAGAGTAGTGATGATAGACAGTTATTTTTCCAAACTAGCAAGTCCTATCTCTTCTATATTGTCTTTAAATTTGGCATGCAAATGGAGGATTGCTTCTTTATCTCATCTCTCTCTCTTGCAGCTATTTATCATTCACAGTTAATAAAGCCAACCTGCCACTTGCAGTATTTGGTCCTGTGATCTCCTTAGTCAGATCTAAACCTCATTGAATACATTTACTTTTTTCCAAGTTACCACACATGACAGTTTGGCCATTTCTATTTTAACTGTGTAACATGGACAGGTAGAGATGGGAAAAGCATAGAAGGAACCACCAGCAAAGGCTGAGAAAATAGCAAGCCAATGGTTTTCAGGGCTGAAAAAGCAGTGAGGTAGGTAATTGTCACAGCATTCTGGAAAATGGGATGCCTGTCATCTTCTCCCAAAAATGCCACATTTTAGGGGTGTGTGTGTGTGTGTGTGTGTGTAGCAGCATTCTTCTTCCAGGTAACAATTTTTATACTAGTTAGCTATTGCTGAGACATTAACCATCCCAAATCTTAGTAGCTGAAAAACATGGCCATTTATTTAGATCGTAATTCTGCTGTTACTCTGGTCTAGACTAAGTTCAGCTGATCTGACCTGGCTTGCTCATGTGTCTGCAGATGATTGACAGATTGGCTACAAGTGAGTTATTTCAGATGGCCCCACTCCCAAATCTGGAAGCTGACTGGGATGACAATGGCAGTTACCCCTGTGCTGTCCATTACCCAGCAGACCAATTCAAGCTCCTACTGATGGTGGCGATGGCCCATCTGGAACAGCTAATGTGAGGACACAGGCTGCAGTGGGGGAGGTACGGCTGGGGCTGTGTGCTTCATAAAGCCAGAGGGAGTCAGGAACAGGTGAGAGGTACGCCCCCTACCGAGTTGGCAGGCCAGAGCCCTGTGGTCCCAGGCACAGCTGCAGCCACCGGCATCCCTGTGCTCTCTGAGGTCCAGGAAGCCTCCTGCCCCCACAGGCTTGAAAGTGCCTGCTCCCACTCATTGGCCTCTCCCTGCTCCCAGCACCCACTCCAGAATGGAGCAAAGTTGTGGCTAAGCCTGGACAGTGTCCCAACCTGTACGAGCGTACGTGCTCAGGGAACATTGACACATCAGCCCCCTGCCACCTTGCCCCCCTCCAGACTTTGGGTACTGACAAGCGTGGTAGGGGGATCTGGGTGGGGGGCGGTAAGGGCATCTCAGCACAGGCCTGTGGGTGCCTCTCAGTATAGACAGTCCAGGTGCCATGGATGGCATGTTAATAGCAGACAGGTTCCTGGGGAGGAAGAGATGGGTTCCCAGTGAAACTCTACCTTCAGTCCAGAGACAGCCTGAAACCTGGAGACCAGGCTGCCAGTTCCTGGGGGAACCTGCAGCCTGGAGTGAGAACTTCATTGAGGACCATTTGGCCAATTGAATGGTGCTTTTTCCAGGCCTGCCTGTGGCTACCCATGGGCCAATCAGCATGGACTTCCTCACTTCTGGGCACATAAAAACCCCAGAATCAGTCAGGCTCAGACATTCTTTGGGACAACCTGCCTGCTTGTTGTCCGCATACTTCATTTTTCCTGGACACAGGACAAGAACTTGGGCCCACCAAATAGCAGGACTGAAACAGCTGTTACACAAACAGTGCTGAAACACGACCCCTTGCTCACCATGTTGTGAGTAACAAGAAGGAGAGAAAAGCTGCAGCCATTCAGGGACCACAGACCTAGGGACTCCACAAGCCAGGGCTTGTGACATCCTCTTTGGGACTCTGCAGTTCCTGGCATCTCCAAGCTTCTGGGTACCATTGTGTTCCTCTCATCCAGATACAGGTGCCTGTTGCAGAAACCACTCATGATACATCTGGTCCAGCCACGGCCTTGCATGGAGCTGGTACCTGTGCCAAGGCCTGGAGCTGCATACCCCACCACAGCAGCTGGCTGACTTGCTGTGCCCAGTGGCCAGACCCCATGCCTGCTCACTCACACACCCCTCACCACTCCACACCTGGTTCACCCTCGGCAGCTGTGGGATCCAGACCAGTAGTGTGAGCTGAGCTCAACCTGCCAGACCAAGTGGGTGGAACGAGTCCAGCAGGCCCAAGCAAAATGGGTAAAGGCACCACCGGCCACAGAGGTTGACTGGAAAAGCAACACCCTAAGGATCGTGTGACACTACCATGACCGATTGATCCCAAAACTATCAAGAAAAATTTGCAAGCTGATATGGTTTGACTGTGTCCACTCCAAAATCTCCATCTTGAATTCCCATATGTTGTGAGACAGACCCTGTGGGAGGTGATTGAATCCTGGAGGCAGGTCTTTCCCATGATGTTGTCATGACAGTGAATGAGTCTCATGAGATCTGATGGTTTTAAAAATGGCATTCCCCTGCACAAACTCTCTTTGCCTGGTGCCATCCATGTAAGACATGACTTGCTCCTCCTTGCCTTCACCGTGATTGTAAGGCCTCCACAGCCATGTGGAGGTATCATATACTCTATATGATATAACTCTGTTAACGATGAAGCAAAGACAAATTTGATGGTCCATGCAAAAAAGTTGGATTGGGCCTAAAATGCTTTCTACTCCCTACTGAGCACCTCTTCTGCTATTAGTATTAACTACAATGTTATTAAAATGTCACAATTTTAGTGAATAGTTTTGTGAGAGATATTTGCTGCTACTGCTCATATCTTTTGAAAATTGCTCAGTCTCAGGTGTCTTTATCAGCAGCATGAAAACGGGCTAATACACAAGCTTTTGGGGGTTTACATTAGGAACTTAAAGTTACATCCACCATATTCTAATGGTCAAAATAAGTCACATGGCCAGGAAAGAGTGAGGACTTAAACTTCACATCTTTGTCTTTTTGGAAAGGAGCTACCCACTTTGGGTCTCTAAAACATCCTCTGGGCAGTTTTTGATTACGTCGCTGATCAGAGGAAACTACAGGACCCCTACTCTTTATCCTAACCTGATATTTCTAAATGGTCTTGGAAACTAGAACTTGCGTAGTTTTCTACTGATACGAGCTTTTTCCTTGATCAGCAAAATCACAAAACTTGTGTTAAAAAGTATAATTTTCATTCTCACATGCTGAAAGAGAAACATATAGAACCACATTATAAACAAGGGTTTCAGGGTGACGGAAAAGAAAATACATAATTTATTGCTTATTAAATTTTTAGCTTATATGCTACACATTTTTTTTCGGTGGGCTAAGATTAATTATATGTTAAGTAACACTACATAACAAAAAACTCGGCTGTAAGTAACATTTGATTAATGAATGAATATGAATGTGTGTGCTGGATGGTCATTCTTTTATAATTTATCCTGAATGATTTGTGCTTTCTAAAATCTTTGAGGTGAAAAATGTGACAGTTCAAATTTAAGTAGTAGTATCCCAGAATGATGAAATTGAGATAATGTAATGAATGAATGACGACCTGTGGACAGTCCAATATTAGAAGCCAAAGATAGGATGAATGATATAAATTCATTTCAATAACATTTAAATACTCACTCTTCAGGACATAAAACAATAAAGATACACAAGTACATCTTCATGGTACTATTGAAAATCTGAATAACAGTTTTTCTTCTCGTGTTTACTCTCTGTTGCTACGTAAACCTCCCTTCTGAATATGCCACCTTGTGGACTTTGGGGTTTCCACAAAACTGCTTTTAAGTGTGAATTTGAGAACCATGTAGATAAATGTGTTTAGAATATTTTCTTTTTCAGGTTTATGAGAGGTATCAAAACTACCCTAGTCGTAATTAGAATGTAACACTTTTATTTTAGATTATCAGCATAGTAATAGTTTTCATTTGTATATTGCTGTATGTTATATACTTTAATTCATAGAAATATCTTCCTATTTAGAATTAAAATAGTAAAGTTCAGTAACTAGACCAATATGCTAATTTGCAAGGGCTGCTTTGATAAAGTATCACTAACTGGGTGGCTTAGAACAACAGAAATGTATTGTTTCACACTCCTGGAGGCGAGAAGTTCGAAATCAAGGTGTTGGTAGGGCAATGCTCCCTGTGAAGGTGCTGGGGAACAATCCACTCCAGACTTCTCTTCTGGCATCAGGTAGTTCTTTGACTTGTGGTAGTATAATCTTCACATGGCGTTCCCCCTGTGTACATGTCTATTGACTTTCCAAGTTTAAGTAATCTTATTTAATTCCCTTAAAATGTTATATTAGGATTTGCAATAATATGTATTAAAGTTGATTTTTTTAAAAAAATTATCAGTGTTTATAATCAACCAAAATAACATTTTGGTTTGTGTGTGGCAAAGCATAGACACCACATGTGCTACTTTTGGGGTGCTCATTGTTAAATAATTTTATTTGTAAATGCGTCTTTGTGGAAAGGTATACAAATATAAATACAACTATTGAAAGGTATAATTATCCGGGCCTTTGGTAAAAAATAAAAGAAAATTACCTAAAATCTGATTGTGGTGAAAATCTAGGATTTACAATAACTACAATTAAGGTCCCTATGGCTTTAAGACTACTAAAGCATACTGGTTGAATATGATAAATAATTTTTGAAGTTTTACTGATAGGCAAACATGATATCAATTTGTCTTCATTATCAGTAGCAGGAGACTTGACACTGATGTGAATATGACTACCCTATATGATATAACTCTCTTAATGATGAAGCAAAGACAAATTTGAGGGTCAATGGGAAAAAGTTGGATCGGGCCTAAAATGCTTTCTACTTCCTGCTGAGCACCTCTTCTGCTATTAGTATTAACTACAATGTTATTAAAATGTCACAATTTTAGCAAATAGTTTTGTGAGATACATTTGCTGCTACTGCTCATATCTTCTGTGAAACTCACAACATGAAAAAATTAGCATCAATTCTTCATCCTGTAAAGGAGATAAAATTAACTTTGTGAAGAGATTCTCTTGGGCTGTTTCAAATGAATATATTTATTTAATGCATTGCTGCTCTGGTGTTTAAATAGTTAGAAAAGTAAAACATGTTATGGACCAAAAACAAAAATCCTTAGATAGATGTAGATATTTAGACTTAGCAGCTCTATAGATGTCATCGTTTATATAACCTTTAATAAGTCATAAACTTCTAAACAAAATAATGAAACTTTGTTCTAGAAAAATTGACACGTACCCTATAACAAAGTTTTACCAAAAAAAGTCATGGATTTTACGGACTATCTGTAGACTCTGCAAATCTACTATCTGTAGATACCCGATTTCAGGCCTCTCTGCAGGCCTCTGCTAATTGTGTACATTGTGTGTGTATATACATATATATATATATATATATATATATATATATATATATATATATATATCCCTATAAAATAAAACACTCTGAACCAATCAAATCCTTTAAGATTTTTGAGGAAGCTGAAATTCAAGAACTTTAATAAGGTTTTATAGGGGATACAGTAGAATTTAAAAAGATAATTTGCAAAAACCATTGTGTTGAATTGAATATGAAAAGTAATATTAAGTTTTTGTTTTAAAATTTTTTGATGAACAATCTACTTACAAGTTGTGAGAATTGTACTTGAACACTGTTATTTACTTCATGGATTATATATGTCACGTAGTATAAGCAAAAGAGTGAATATTTTAAATACAAAATGAATAACCTTTTATTATCATAGTATCCATTAATCCTAGAATATTGATTAGCTCAACACAAAATAGTGTCCTTCACAAAGAAATATTAGATAAAACTAATTAAGCTGTGCTTCTAATTAGCAAATAAATTTTGCTATGACAGAATTTAAGAACAAAATAAGAAAGAGCAAAAGCATATTTAAGCCTTGTTAAAAATATTTGTCACCAGAGTAGAGCAATAAATTCTTATGATACTTTGACATTATTTACTCACATTCAATTTTATCTGATTGGTGTTGAGTTAATCATCAAACAAAAATATACTACTTAATACAGCCAATTATATACAAGTAGGCTTTGAATAACTGAAAGGTGCAACATTTTAGAAAGTGTTGACTATACAGGTAGTTAAGGTAGATTTCTTGACTCTGCTTACCTGTTTTCAGGACCAGTAAATCAGTCATAATGATAATTTAATGATTATAAAGTACATTTTGTCCACTTAAATAATACAATAAATAAGGAAATAAATGTTGAAGTGTTATTGAAAATACTCTTTTAATTCAACCATGTATTAAAAATTATGTAGGTTCTGCTACTTCTCTGAACTAATTACCAGTGTCATTTCCATAATTATGTACCATATTCATTTCACAGAGCAACATTTAAAATGGAAATAACATAATTTATCATACCCGCTTCAATAAACTGTATAGTTGAAAATATGCACGAATAAATTTTAAGGTATACGAGCTCTTGAATCAGTGGTGTCACAAAATGTCTGGGAAGTAAACATGAATATTGTTAAGTTAGTTATTCGAACCTTGAGCTCATGACTTTTTGTACTCCTTTATGTAAATTCAAAACAGTAAAATAAGTTTCATGCAAATTTTTCTATTCTGAAATCTGTGATTATGTAGATAAAAACAGTTTAATTTTACCTTTTCAAGGAGATATTGATATAAGCATTATGGTCTGTATTTCAAGAAAAATGCTTACTTTTTGATAAACTTTGTAAAGCACTTTTAAAGCTTGAGAGTGACTTCTCATATGAAAGAAGTAACACAATGAATTTAACATATTCTTCAGTAATGTGATAGTTCAGAAACAAACATTTCTTGAGCTGGGGCAATAAGAGCATAAGTTCTAGAGAAGCAATGTGATTTTAAGTATATTAAGTATATTAGGATATCATTTAATCCTAAAAATTAACACAAATTAAGGGCTTGGCAGAGACTCGGAGAAAAGTAAAAAAGATTATAAATATATTGGGAAATAGAGTTTGATTATAACGAACTGTCTTTCCTGCTCCCATCTCTCCCATGCTCTGCACTCTAGTTGCCAGAACTGGAATCCATAAAATCTCACAGGCTAAACATTAACAGACAATCTGGAACTAGATTATAGTTGTAAAGTTCCATTAATGCAAATCAGCTTACTCTATTTGCCAGGCTTGTTTATCTGCTTTATCAGCCAAGACAGTTAACCAGGTTCTTCTAGAAAGGGATCCCTTTCCTGTTCTGATGGTTAATACCAAGAGTCAACTTGATTGGATTGAAGGATGCAAAGTATTGACCCTGGGTGTGTCTATGAGGGTGTTGCCAAAGGAGATTAACATTTGAGTCAGTGGACTGGGTAAGGCAGACCCACCCCTAATCCGGTGGGCACAATCTAATCAGCTGCCAGAGAATATAAAGCAGGCAGAGGCCAGGCGTGGTGGCTCATGCCTGTAATTCCAGCACTTTGGGAGGCCGAGGTGGGTGCATCACCTGAGGTCAGGAGTTCAGGATCAGCCTGGCCAACATGGTGTAACCCCATCTCTACTAAAAATACAAAATTAGACAGATGTGGTGGCACATGCCTATAATCCCAGCTACTTGGGAGGTGGAGGCAGCAGAATCATTTGAACCTGGAAGGCAGAGGTTGCAGTGAGCGAAGATCACGCCATTGCACTCTAGCCTGGGCAACAAGTGAAACTCTGTCTCAAAAAATATAATACAATAAAATAATAAAGCAGGCAGAAAAAAGTGAAAAGGCGAGATTGGCCTAGACTCCCAGCCTACATCTTTCTCCTGTGCTGGATTAATCCTGCTCTCAAACATCAGACTCCAACTTCTTTAATTTTGAGACTCGGACTGGCTCTCCTTTCTCCTGAAGCTTGTAGACAGCCTATTGTAGGACCTCGTAATCGAGTAAGTTATTACTCAATAAACTCCCCTGTGTATATATATCCTATTAGTTCTGTCCCTCCAGGAAACCCTAATACACCTGTTTTAGCTAGACTTAGAATTCTGGAATGGAATTTCACTCCCAGGCCTCAGCCTTCATTCCCAACTGGCAGACCTTCCTAATGTTCCCCCTTTTACCGGAATCGCAGCATATTGCCTGCTTTCAGATTCCCATTGCTATATTACAAACATCTGCAGAATATCCCTATTAGCTTTGCCCTTCCAAATATGTTGACATAAGAGATTGTCTCTCTGTCTAGGCACTGATCCTTGGTTGCCTTTTGCTGGTCACTGGATTTATTAGAAAACATGACTTTTTCTCATTAAGTGATGCTGAACTAATTTAATAAATCATTTATTAGTTTTTTTAATTGAAGATAGATTAGGTGACCTAAATCATTTTCTTTGTTCTCTCTGACCAATACTTTTGATTTTTTTTTAAATTTGGGGATTCTTGGTAAACACAAATAGCATCAGTTGTAACTAAGAATGCATATAAAATAATTTTGTCTCATTTACCTAGAATTATTCTGAGTGAGAAAGTTCAGTAATTTTATCTTAATCTTTCCACGGCTTACTTTTTGAAACTATAAAATAGTAATTTATAGGATTGTTTAAAGGACCAGTTAATTTAAAATTACATTTTGTAAAATATACACATATATTGCATAAACTATATTTATAAAATTTTAATTTTTACTAATAAAATATTTGCATGTCAAAATGTATCCAGAATTGTGCTAGGTCCATAACTGAAATAGATGACATTGTCAGCCCCTGACTATCTTGCAGATTAGTGTAAAGACCGATATTAAAAAATAATTTCATGCATCTGATAAATACTGTAATTAAAATATGTGTAAGGTACTGTGGTCTAAAAAGGACATCACCAATGCATGGAAAGAGTACAGTCTTGCACGCTGTGGTACAATTTTGATTTTGCTCTCTAACTAGCAAGAAGCATTAAAAAATTTAAAACAAGCACATGAAATGCTGTGGACATTTAGTATATAAAAATAATTTTAATCCTGGTCCTCAAAATGTCACTAGACATTTAGGATTATTATAATCCTAAAATGAGTTAAAACGTGTGAAATTAATAGGTCTTTTTTAAAGAAAATATATCTTTCAGATGTAGAACATTTGAACAATATGTTACACTTAGTTTTCTTTCAGAGATTTAGAATCCCAGGTATTCAGCAATCACTTTAATGTCTATATAGCTTTTAATAAGAATAGTACCGTAATTCAACAGTAATAGTAGTTTAAACCCTAACAAAAAGGTAGGATCCAAGAGAATATATCAACTCTTCTTTAGTCCTCTTAGTTCATCTCTGACTGAAGCCATTTTGTGTTTTCTAATTTCCTGTGTGATAGGCATTTTCATGCAGGGCTGTGCATCACGTTGATTCTGCAAAACCCAATTTTGACTGGCACGCCAGTACTTTATAGCTCGACGAGCAGACAGGGAGACTGTCTCATAATCTATTGTTAGATTTCAAAAGTTTTGCAAAGAAAAACAGAAATGCACAAATACTTTTTATCTTTTTAGAATCTTAGGACATCGTTCACCCTAAATGAAGGCAACATATACGGAAAACCTCCCCCACAAAACATACACTTTTATTAACCAGTAACACCAATTTTCCTAGTGTACATCAATTTTCTCTCATTTGAATAATTGTAATTCACATTTATCTGCCCCTTCGCTCATTTTATAGCTGATTTCATTGAAAATTGAAAAATGTGAAAAAGCATCTTTTGAAAATCAGTGTATATGAAATTAGAGCTTCAAAATACATAACATGGGGATACTTTATAACATATTGGAAAAATAAGGAAAAGGTAAAATTATATTTTATATACTCAATTTATATTCTAAAACCATTATCAGTTAGTATAAACTACCAACAAGCCATTTTACTTTTTAATGTCTATTCTCATCGATAACATATATATATATATATATATATATATATATCTATATCTATATATATATATATGCTGCTATATTTGCTAATCACTATTTCACTTCATTTAACTCAGGCAAGTAAGTTTAGTATGTAGAAATGTCTGGAATAATACCTGTCTTGTAGTTTGTCTTCAAAAAACTCATCTTCCTTTTGCGTAGTCCCAATGTCTAAATATTTCATCCTTTCATTAAAGATGGGATGGCAATAATGATTATTTTGAGTATAACAACCATCTTTTAAAAAAATTCTTTCCATATGCCCAACAATCTGCTTTTAACTTTACATGTATTTCTCATAACTACTTTGTGTCAATGTACTATAAAATATATAATACATTTGTGTATCTACATAATTATTCAATTAGTAGACAACTCTTTTTAACTACCATATAGCAGAACATTTGTGAGATTATTTATTCATGGTCTCTAAGAGCTTTTATTGCCTACATTGGGAAGACATAACATGTAGAAGATAAATAAAATGCAAAAATTCTCTAAAATAAGTAAAGGACATTGTACAAGCACTGATAAGGGAGTAGTCCATTCTGGGGGAACGAAAATCAGGACTAATAGCCATATATCCACATAAACAGCTGTTAGTCAACTCAAAATATGGCCAATGTTTAATAATAATACAAACATAATTTTAGTACCACAATTTTTATTCCTATGAATTTTTCATCCTAATGTAGCAGAGTATGATTGACCACATTGCTCATGTGGCATTGTAGCTGTCATAATTTAAATAAAATATCATTAATACAAGGTCCACAGGAAAACACAAGTCTAACTCAGCCCCTTTTATAAAAGAACTAATCCCTTTCACAAAGGCTTCATCTTCATGATCTAACTACCTTCCAAAAGCCCCATCTCCTAATACCAATGTTGAGGATTGGGATATCAACATATGAATTTTGGGAAGACATAAACATTCAGACTATAGCACAGAAAAATTTTAAAATAATTAAAATTACTCAATTATAATCATACATTTTCATATACAGATCTGGGACTCAAGCAGATCTGTACATGTCCTATCTATAATGAATTTTTAAATGAAATATTTAGCAATTAATCAAATTCTGTGCAAGATATGTATATGTTTATTTTCCTTCTATTAGAATCATGTTATTTTGGACTTCCTGGACATCTTGAGTTAGAAGAATGATGTTTTAAGTGTGGGGGTCAGCAATTTTGATGTGATCTTTCAAAGTTACCTCTGTAAATATCAAATTTGAGAGATTTAAAAAGTTACATTCTGTGGTAGAACAATAACGTATGAAGAATTGAATTCAGAGAACAATCAGTCATCCTCCTCCGTTTCTCTATAGTGGTATAACCTGGGCTATATTTTCTTACTTTACAGTATAAGAATTAAAGGTGTACATGTTAGTTTTAACAGCATCAATTACATATTAACAATGGAGTACTTTTAAAGGTCCAAGTTCTTGTGTTTCTATGATATCAACCATTAATTATCAAAGACATTTTCTCTGGGTGGTCAATATTGTTTGAAGGTAGATAGATTTTATATTTAAGAAATTTGGGTTGTGTGGACATAGATGAATAATGGTTAGTGAGCTGTCTTTATTCAAATTATCTAGTGTTCAGTGGAGAATTAAACCTATCCCAGGGTCTGCAATCTCAATTGCTACCCAAGCAAAGGGTTGGCTAACTTTTGAAGAGAAAATTACTCCTTCTATAATTACCTACTATTTTCAACTCTCCTAACATCTGCCAGCATAAGTCTTCTAATTTTATAAATGACTGCATTTTAGACAGATTTCAATGCTGGTTGTTTTTTTTTGTTTTTTTTTTTTCAGCTTTTTAAAGTCCTTTGGAAGAGAAAAGTCCTTCCTTTGTCCTCTCCAGACTTCCACGTTTCACATCTGTAATCAATGCAGTAATATAAAAAAGTGACAAATTTGGATATCATCTGTGCATTACCAAATTTCACATCAACCAGCTAATATCTTATTAATGTTGTGGCAAAAGCTATGCTGGTTGGCAGAATGGTTTACTTAAGAATTACAGTCTTTAACTTCCTAGTTAGAGTGGCATTGAATACATAAGCCAAATTTGTCAATTTCCCAGTTATTAGATGAGCATGCTGAGCCATCTCTGTACTACGAAAAGCACAATTACAAAAACATTTGCCCTCTAATGTTGTGATGGTTAATACTGAGTGTCAACTTGATTGGATTAAAACATGCAAAGTATTGTTCCTGAGTGTGTCTAAGAGGGTGGTGCCAAAGGAGATTAACATTTGAGTCAGTGGACTGGGAGAGGCAGACACACCCTCAATCTGGGCGGGAACTATCTAATCAGCTGCCAGCATGGCTAGGATAAAGCAGGCAGAAAAAAATGGAAAGACTAGACTGGCCAAGTTTCCCAGCCTTCATCTTTCTCTCATGCTGGATGCTTTCTGCCCTTGAACATCAGACTTCAGGCTCTTCAGCTTTTGGACTCTTAGAAGAGTCATTTGTCAGGGGCTCTTGGGCTTTTAGCCACAGACTAAAGGCTGTGCTGTCGGCTCCCCTACTTCTGAAGTTTTAGGACTTGGAATGATCTACCACTGGCTTGCTTGCAGATGGCCTATGGTGAGACTTTGTATTGTGATGGTGTGAGTCAATTCTCCTTAATAAACTTCCTGTCATATATACATCTATCCTATTAGTCCTGTCCCTATAGAGAACCCTGACTAATACAAACAATGAAAAGTTCATATCTTCTAAGTAGATATGAAACATATATATATGAACTAGAAATATTTAGAGTACTGAGTGGGTTTAAAAACAATGCATTTTATGATGAATATTTACAGATTTAACTTTTTCCACCGATATATTTTTCTGTTTCCATTGATTGTCCATCTACATTTAACATATTTACAATTCAATTCAGGTGTAAAGTAGACTGCAAAGACAAAATATATAGGACAATGTAAATAATAAACAAATGAAGAATTTGACATGGGAAAACAAATAAAATACAATATGAGGAAAATGTAAAAATAAAAACCCACAAATAACAAAGGAACTATAGCTAATGATTTAAGAGTAAGGACTCAACCAATGACTTGGGTTTGAAGCTTACGTCTAAAACTGGATAGCTATATGACTTTCAGCAAATTAGGCAGCTATTTCCCCATTTCTATAGCCCCATAGTTTGTGGTGAGGTTAAAGAGTTAATATATATGCAGACCTCAGAACAACACACATCACAAAATTAAAACAATGTGTTTGTTACTCAATATGCAAATAAAGTGTCAATGATTGCCACTATTCAGCTTAAATATAACTCAGGTCTTTCTAGTAATAAAAGTACAAACAGCACAGATTTTTTTACATTTTTCCTTTTTAAAATTTAGTTTTCTCATGTAAGAATTTTTGTAAGAATTTTAAAGCATATAAATGTATGGTCTTGTATACAATTACTATCTATTACCTGTTTGGCATTGTTATTATCATATAATTCTCAGAACACATATCAACTTGCAATTAGCAAAGATTGTTTTATGTTTCTGTTTTTATTTGTTGGCACTTTTTTTGCTAATTTATAGGATTAATTTTTGATGTTGCGATTAGGAAAATAGTATTTAAAAATGCCAAGAACATTTCTTCTAAAAACACATAACTGTCCAGGCACGGTGACTCATGCCTGTAATCCCAGCACTTTGGGAGGCCGAGGTGGGCAGATCACCTGAGGTCGGGAGTTTAGACCAGCCTGACCAATATGGAGAAACCCCATCTCTACTAAAAATACAAAATTTAGCCGCGCCGTGGTGGCGCATGCCTGTAATCCCAGCTACTCAGAAGGCTGAGACAGGTGAATCGCCTAAACCCAGGAGGCAGAGTTTGCAGTGAGCTGAGATCGCGCCATTGCACGCCAGCCTGGGCAACAAGAGCAAAACTCCATCTGAAAAAAAAAAAAAAAAAAAACATAACTAGTATTACACGGAATGGAATTTCCTAAGTATCTTTTGATAAATGTTAAAGTAATAATGTTTAAATCCAACTTAATACATATAATTTCTGAGAGAAATTCAGTTAATATATGAAGATATATATAATATATGTATATATACATATATACACAGAAACATAGAGAGCTATAGTCTTGAACTATATATATACACATGTATATTATATACATATACACATGTATATTATATATATATATACACACATGTATATTATATATATACACATATATACATGTGTGTATATATATAGTTCAAGACCATAGCTCTCTTCTGGATAGGTTATATATCTAAATCATGTCACATATAATTTCTCAGGAGGTTTCAGACAACAGTTGTTTAGCAGACAGTTTAAAACTGAATCACTAATAAGAGCTTACAGTCCTGAAATTCTTTGTTATTCAGTAATTATAGATACATGTACTTTAGAAAAATTATAAGGCAAGGTTGTATGTATGTGAATGCATATGAATGTTGTTCCTTATATTTAAGTCATCTAATGAGGAACCCTGTTGATGTTATGAACCTCATTATCTCCATATAAATGAACTCTAGAAGTAAAACCTTATCTCCACATAAATGTGAATAAAGCCAGAGTTTTTTCCAAGAAAATGCCATGATTTGCAACAACAAAAATCAAAACAGAAATTATACTTACCTAAATCTACGTGATATCCTAGAGCCAAGAAAATTTTAGTTTGGACTTTTTCATTGTATTTATTATTAGTGTTCTATAATAGCTTTACTAGAGAAGACTCTCAATGGTGTACTCTTTCAATGTGAAGTTCAAAAGAAGAATTTCTCAGTTAATTCTATTGATTCTAAGGTGTTCTTGCCAAAAATGAAAACCATAGTGACTAAAGCACACAACAAAACATCTTACTATTTCAGGAGATTATATCTGAATCACATTTTGGAGTGTATTTTTAAGGATAATTTTGTTTTATATTATCGTAGAATACACCACTATAATCCCTTCTTCAATATTGCAGTTAGCTATTCATTTTATTTTGCAATAACTTAAAATTCATTACTGTAAGAACTTACATACCTATGGAATCAAAGTGATTTCAAATAAGAGGGACAGAAGTGAATAGATTAGAGGGAGGTTGGCATGTCTTTCTTTCCCCACAAAGATTCCCATGTGGTTTTTCACGATCAGAGCTGAAGACCAGTGGTTTTACCATCCCAGAAACTCTAAGTAGTGTTAAAATTCAGGCTGAGACATGCTTTATTAGTTAGCAGTTTTATTAAATTAGTATAGATTAGATAGTAACTAGCTTTTGCCCACAGAATCAAAAGCCAATGAAAAAATCAATAGTTTCAACCACTCTTATTTTTGGTGAAATTCTAGAAATCAAGTGTGCAGCATAGATATATAGCTGAGTTGTAGTTCTAAAGCACACTAGATTTTACTATAAAATGATGACATAAAAATATCTGTGTTTTAAAAAGAAAATTGGCACCACACATAGTGGACTTTCCTTCAAACTATATGTAAACACTTTTTGAAGGATTGAACTATTTCCCTTTTGAATCAAAAATAGACATGGACTATGCTTTATCTTTTTGAGACTATAACCATAGAATAAATTTAAATGAGCTGTTTTTTAACGTTTTACCACTCTTTTGATATTTAAACATAAGAGCCTTGGTATTCATTCCTAAAAGTAAAAGGAATATGATACAGAAGAGAACTTGAAATATATATGTCTTAAATAATTATCAACAGAATATTCTGAAAAAATCACTCCATACCCCTACCTCACTAAATGGGTAAACTATAAAGAAACCTGTATTACAATTTGAGTGGGGAAAGAAAAGTTAACATAGAGGAAGAGCATAAGTAATAATGAAAAATCAGAAATTGGGTACTTTTGAAAACTTTGAACCAGAAATGATCAGGATACATTAAGGGATAATGTGGAAACGATTATCCGAAGGTAAAAGTGGAAAGCCTCTATTCATTTAGTAAGAATAAACAGCTAAAGAACAAGGCAAGAGTTCCCAGTCTTCTGCTGTGCTCTGGCATGACATTGACCTGTGTGGTCCAAAGAATAGAACCCACAGATTCTATTATTTGTAAATATGCGATTGTGCTTATCTATTTTGGTTTACTTTTATATAACCTGTTTGTTATATAAAAGAGACAATTATTTGTCATAGGGAGGCCCATATCTTAAATGAATTAAAAGGAAGAGAGAAGAATTTTAAATTTTATATATGAAAAATAAAATTTCTGAGCCTACAGAATACAATGGCTACTAAAGTCAGGCTTTGCCTAGACGGGGGAAAAAAAAAGTTTACAATTGCAAATACTTTACCGTCATGAGAGAAAATTGGCCAACCCAGGAATTAGAGAATTTTAACATAACTTACAAAATAGAAGTAAAATTGGGTCTGGCATTAAGGGAGCTCTAAAATACAGGAAAGAAAATTGTCAAGGGTTTTCCTTTCTGATTCTGAGGGAAAATGTAACATTACGGAGATCAGGTGAGATAGTATCACACTTCTCTGATCTGTGTTCTGTGTATGTCTAATAATTGATTCCTACATTTGGAGGAATAGATAATATGCTAGAACCATGTACCTAACTAGTGAATGAGAAAATACTTGGGCCAGTGGGCTGCATGCCTAGTCTACATAAATCTGCAAGCTTTTAGTAAAAGTTCCAGATATCACTTAGTTTCTGTTCAGAATATGAGAGTAAAACTACATCATTAAGGATTTTCTGCTGAGCCTAAGATAGCCCAGTGGTTGCCTATGCTTTTCATGTGATGTGGGAGTTCTTACTTTTCCCTTACCCTAGGAACAGACAAATTTCTGAGAGGAAAGGTACAAAGACAGAGATCAAGAATTTTTAATAGGAAGTTCCCAAAAGTGAGAAACTATGATTTTTAGGTTACATATTCAGTAGGAGGAGAGGTAAGAAAACACATAAAAGACTTGTAAAATCAACCATATCACCAAGAGATTCAATGTGGTCAGAGACCAATTACAGGGGAAAAATGAGATTAAATATTTAAAATAAAAGAGCAGTGAGTATCAAAAGGCCAATGCAAGAAACTGTCATGTAAAACCAAGCCACATACCCATCAACTGGAGGCTATGTAAGTGGTAAAATTTAGGAGAGGAGAAGATTTCAATTCTAGAGAACCATATCAAAAGATTGTAAATGCTTTGGGCTGTGACTATCCATCCCCAACAATAATGAAATTAAAATGAGAGATTTAAACAATATTCCTTTTATCTAGCTTAATTTAAAAAATGAAATTAATACCAGTGGTGAAACAATAACATCCTCAAGAATGCATCAAGGTCCAAAAGCATTTTTTCCTCCTGCTTGGCTATTCTGAAAGTGTTGCCATGCCATCCAACGACAGCAGGATGACTGGATTCAACAGGCTCTGCGTTTTCATTCAAGGCTGAAAGGAAAGTGATGAACAATTCAAGCAAGTACTTATTGGGCCACTGTGTCTTTGTTCAAGCTTTTTTATTTTTTCTTCCCAGAAGCTCCACCAAAAGAGAAAACATCCTTTTGTCTCATTGGATAAGAGCAAGAAAGTCTGTTAAATATCTGGATATGGAGAATGCTATGAGCATAATTGGCTTTAATTCACCATAATTTATTTCCTGCAGATAAACATTGATGTCCCTTAAAAAGTGGAAATTTTTGCTGTGCGTGGTGGCCCACGCCTGTAACCCCAGCACTTTGGGAGGCTGAAGCAGGCAGATCACGAGGTCAGGAGATCGAGACCATCCTGGCTAACATGGTGAAACCCTGTCTCTACTAAAAAGACAAAAAATTAGCCAGGTGTGGTGGCGGGTGCCTGTAGTCCCAGCTATTCAGGAGGCTGAGGCAGGAGAATCACTTGAGCCTGGGAGGCAGAGGTTGCAGTGAGATGAGATTGTGCCACTGCACTCCAGCCTGGGCAACAGAGTACAACTCTGTCTCAAAAGAAAAAAGTGGAAATTTTATTAGCCTTAAAGAGAGAACAATTGGCTCTTGGTGGCTCACTAACATATCTGACACAAAAAACATTATCTCAAGAAATGCAGACACTGGTGACAAAAAAAAAAATAGTGTTTTCCTTGCAATATAAGCAGATTCTTGCACATTGTTAGTACTATAATCCCTTCCAGCAGAGAGGAAACCTCTACATAATGAAGCATTTTTTCAGCCCTTATGTGTCACTCATGACCTCTACTATTGTTCTGAATGAAAAGCTTCTCATGTTTACCTCCATAGCAGCTTATTTTGCTGTCATAAAACATTTAATTGATTTGCTGCTTATTTCTTTTTACTATCTACCAAGCTAAATGTGGTAATATATATCTCATATAGATATATTCTGTCAAAATCTGAATACCAAGAAATAACCAGAAATGGGGATACTAACAGTTTCATGGTCCTTAGCTTGAGAACAGTTGAGGGTGATAAGAGGTATTGAATCTACTGCAAAAGGTAAAGGAAAATGAAGGTGAGGATTAATAGAAAATATGTGCAATCCAAGAAACTGTGTTCACAAAAATACCATATATACCATAGAGCATTGCAGAAGTGATGAGTAAACGGGTAGACAAGAAGGGTGTCTGGAAAAGGTTAAGTAGTAATAGAAATCAAAGTATATGAGGAGGTTTACAGGGTTGAAGCAAGCTCTAGGCTATGTATTAGAAACCATGACTTTTAGCCTTGGGTTCGATAAATATATATCTTCAGCCATCCGTTTTTGAAGTATGGTCCACCAACCTCTAGAGATCCCTGAGAATTTTTCAGGTGTCTGCAAGTCTTATTGGGAAAAAAAGAAAACTACCAAGAAGTTATTTCCTTGTTTCATTGTGTTAGCATTTTTATTCACAGTACAAAAGCAATGGGTAAAAAAATGTTACCTTAGCATGAATCAAAAATGTGGCACCAAATCACATTCACAATTATTATGTTACTCACCTCTGTATGTCTAAGGTAAAAAACAAACAAAAACCTCTCACATAACACTGTTCTTGATAAAGCAGGAGTAAAAATCACTAACTTCATTAAACTGCTATCATTTTAATATTCCATATGCCACAATTATAAGTATGTATAATGCAATTCTACAACATACATGCTAGTACTGTGGTTTTCTCAAGGAAAATATGTGTGCAATTATTTGAGTTGCAATCTGAACCAACTTTTTTTTTTCCATGAAACACTATTTTTACTTGAAAAAGCATTTGACAGCTATGATTATTTGGACGTGGGAATTGATACAGCTCTTCAAAAAGGAATGAAGTGAACCCTTCAAGAGAGAAAATAAATGACAGCATTTGTTGTCAGTGATGAGCATTTTCTTTCAAAATCTTTGTAGTTAATCTGTATGTTCAGAAAGTATTACTTTCCTGTCTTTCTCCATTAGTAGAACTTTGGAAAGCTTATTTATACTCACCATTGTGGTTTATCAATACATAAAAACTTCCCTGATGAGACTGATGGTGACATTAACAGTTATGATCCTTAAATATATATTTTATAATAAAATGTGTCAAGCTCTTGTATAATCTGTATAATTCAGTGAACTAATGTTTTCCCTAAAATTAATTTTTTACCCCAAAAATGATGGGTAAGGAAAAGTTCCATTCAAAATGCAAGACAGACCCATGGATCTTAATATAGCAGAGTAAAGAATATTTTAATAGGGTTTTAGATACCAAATCATAACCAACCTTAAAAAAATGACCATATGCTGAGTTTTGGCATAGTATTAAAGATAAATATCCACAATCATCCAAAAAGGATAGTGGGATAGCCACAGAGGTGCAACACTCCAATCCATCTTCAGGGAAACAAAAAGCAAAACAAAAACCCTGCAGTGACGAATATACTTAGCTAAGGAGCATTCAGATGCAGTCCCACTGAGATCCCTGCAGCAATCAGGCTTAGGCCACGCTCACTGTCAGATGCTCCCAGCTGAGGACTATCAAGCAGAGGGCAGTAAAACTGGGCCACTTCTGTTTAAGGTGGGATTCCTCAAATGGTCTCAGTTTCCTGTTGCCCCTCATCAGTTTCGCCAAAATTTTCTAAAAGTTACACTGATGTCTCGGGCTTTTCCTTCCAGATATTTCTTACTTTCTTCTCCCTTATTCAGTGTCAGACCAGGAACAGTCTGAAAGCTCTCTCTGACTAATCTCATACTCTTTCTGGTACATCTTTCAAAGAGGTCTCCTCCAATATATAACTTGTGCTATTAATTCTATCTTTGTATCTGCTGCTTATCTAGTATGCTGTTCAAGTGCACTGCTAGTTCCAACTAAATGAGCATGGAAGGTGAATTTTCTTCATGTATGCCAACCAAAACTATATATCACAATAGGATGAATGTAAGTGGATAAGAAAATCCAGCTGTCTTGTATTAAGCCAGATATTAAATGATTTGCAAAAACATAAGCTAGCACCACTCTTTTTACTACTCTTTTCGAAATATTTTTATAATCATGCTAATTATAATAGGTATTTATATTGCTGTTTTAAATTAATATATATTTTGAAATGTTTAAATACATTGTGTATTAGTGTTCCATTTACCATGAAAGAAAACATATTCATAGATTCCAAGAATTATAGGGTAGACATTTTTAGGGAAGGAGCATTATTCTGCATAGCATACAGTGTAAGGATAAAGAGATTTAAGGAGGTTGTGATCTAACTTGGAAGACCGTCTTCTTGACTAAGAATGGAGAAGAGTACAGGACATTACAATTTGTTTTTAATCACTTTTTGTGTGGACAGTTGTAAATGTTCAAGCACAGTAATAACATTATATTATCATCGTTTTGGAACTGGAAGACAAGCTTTTAAATCTGTCCATTATATTGTTTTTAATTAATTGCCGTATCAATCATTTATCTTCTGAAAAATCATGCCCTGCAATGTGCTGCATTACTTGAATAGTCTTGTTTTCTCCTTTAGAATTAAATAAAAAATTATCCTTTAATTTCAAATGCCAAGGAGATTGAACAATCTGTTTCTTTATTACAGGAAAAATATTGTCTAATCTAATTTTTAAATAGATTTTTTCTCATTTTTGATTTGTGTGGGAAAAAAATTGCCCTGAGGATTGTGTGAGACAGGAGTGACATAAAGAGATAAGAGTGATGATGAGAAAGCATCATCATTTGCTGATGGCTAGTTATCGGTCTCCAAAATATCTTGAACTGAGGTTAGGCTGCTGCTTAACTTTATTTCTCCAAGTATGCTTCTAACCATGAATCATCTTCTGTTCGACCTGAAAGTCCATTAAAAATATTATGGTATATGACCACATGGTATGTTGGAAATAACACTGTAATATGAAGGAGTTATACTTTAGGTTACAAAACTGTATAGCTCTGTAGCCTCTGTTGAGTTTGTCAAATTTTTTAAGTCTCAGCTTCCCCATGGCAGATGACAATTGCTTCCCTCTGTTCCTTGAGGATTATTTGAATAAAGAATGTCATTGTTTGGGAGTGGTTTTTAACATTTAATTTTACCATTAAAATGTTGCAATTTGTCAGGAAGTTTCTATGTATTCATTTTTTCTATCCTCTCTGTGAATATTATTGCACTAATATCTAAAAAATTTATGTTATTTACTACCCAAGGCAATGGCTGATATTACTTCATTAGGGACTGAGTCAGAATCATAAGTGAATCATTTCTATAAATCAGATTTGAGTAGTATTTCAGAGGCTCTCAATTACTTGAAAATATACAATAAGTTTTAAAAATTTCTCTTTATGTGATTATATTCAGGTGTTTTTCCCAAGGCTAAATCAAAATTTTATAGTCAACTATGTTGAGAAGATGCTACATGTTATTTTATATAGCACATTTTGTAATAAATTTAATTTAAATGCAATTCATGTAGAAATTTTTGCTAAATATTTTACTTATGAAGGTAACTTCAGTTTATAGCTATAGAATTATAAATGTTCAGGTTATCAGAACGTAAATTCTTTTTTAATAGTGATAAACTAATTTTATGAAGTATTTTAAATGTGCATTGAACATATATTACATAAATCACCCCAACAATAGATTATTTTAGAAAAAGAGTCTTAGTGAAAATAAAGTTATATGTAAAGCTAAACTTCTTAAGAATACACAGTCACCTCTCCTATATAACTCATTGGAAATACAATTTCTAAGAGTCTCAGTTATTAGACTTCTTGCATTTGAGCTTTATCAAGTCCTATGTGCTTCTCCAAATGTGTATTTAGAGAGAAAATATTTATAATTTTACTCATGATTATCACCTGCTCTGATGCCTTCATATTTTCATATAAGGCTCATGGTTTGCTTGTATTAAACAATGCTTCTTAAAATATTCTACCATATTTTAAGAAGCAGTTTCTCCAAATATTTTCTAATTGATAATATTTCAGGCTTATACATTTTTATGTTTACTTTGGGGATCACAAGAAAGCTAATCAACTTTTAATTTGTAGAATGTAACAGGGCATATTCACGTAAGTTTATACATACTTTCCTATATTTAATCATAAAATTCAAAAATAATTTCAATTTCAGTACTCAACCACAAGATCATTATCTATCCCATATAAGCTACCGTCCTTTCCATACTAATTATTACTCAAGGGGTGGCCAAGAGGGGATAATCTCTTTGTGGGGAGGGCCAAATGTATTAACCAAATAGACTTAGGAAGGTGCATGTATAGTCCAAGAGAGGGTGGATAAAAAAGAATCAGAAATGTTTTTGAGTTGATTTTTCTTTTACTGCAGTAAAATATACATAAAAATTACCATTTTCGCCGTTCTGTGTGTAAAATTCATTGATGTTATATAAGTTCACATTGTTGTGTGGTTATGGGAACTAAACATGTTTAGAACCTTTTTATTATCTCAGAATGAAACTCTGTACCCACTAAACAATAACTCTCCATAATTCCCTAGCCCCTGCCCCACTCAGCACCTGGCCATCATTATTCTACTACTTTCTGTTTCTATTAATTTGGTTGATGTTTGGAGAGGTCATTTTAATAGGCAAAATCACCTGAAGCTTGAGTATGGAAGGAAGCATGGAATATCTGTCAAACACTTTGAATAACAGTTCACTGCTTCTTAGCGTTTTCAACAAAAATGCCCCATTGTCAGGGTGCAGATGTTCTGGAAAGATGAATACATAGCATAGATTACATTCAGGAGCCACAATGACGTGGCAAGAGTAGGCCGATTGGACTGGACTAATAACAGCCATAGTAGCCAGATTTCTAAGATAACTCTCAAGATTTTCCACACTCTTTCCCTTATGTAGAATTCCTCTTTTGGTTATGTTATGTGGCACAGTTAACTTAAAATAGAGATATTATCCAAGTGAGCCTTACCTAGCCACCTGATCCCTTTTGAAGCAGTTTTCTCTAACTGGTGGCTGAAGGGGAAATCAGAGCTTTACAGCTTGAGGATTCTACCTACTGTTGCTGGCTTGAAGAGAGGAGGGATCCATAAGTCAAGGAATGTGGATGGCCACCAGTAACTGAAAGCAGCCTCAATTTGACAGAAAGCAAGGAAACAGAAAATTCTATTCTACAACCACAAGTAAGGCTTATATAAAGAATAATATTACTAGAAATAGATTTTCTCCCACACTGTCTATACAAAATCCCAGACTGTTAAATACCTTGATTTTGACCTTGGTATGCCCTGAGAACCCAGCCATGTCAAGCCAGACATATAACCTATAGAACTTTGAGCCAATAACTGAGTAATAAGTATAGTTTTTGTGTGTGATAATGTATTATACAGCAATAGGAAACAAATATAACAGCATAGACTGATGTATATCAGTGTCAAAAGTGATAAGACAGTGTAATTATGGCTCCAGATGTCAACAGTCTTGACCTTGGCAGTGCAGACATGATAGGCAGCTTGATTCCAGTGAGTGCCTTCAGAGGATGGGCCTTTACTGTGGACATCTATGTGAGTGATGCAGACTGACCATTCAGTAACCTCAAATTTCTGAACAGTTTGTGGTCCCAAACAGGGTATATTTAATAAGGCAGTCTGTAGTCTTTCCAGGGGCAAACAAGCTGTCTAGGCCATTGGCAAAAGTCCAAGAATGAGTAAAAATATAACACAGTTTATCTATGGCAATATTGGCCAGAGATATGAAAATGACCTTTGGTTCTTACTAGTGACCAGAATAACCATATCCACTTTTATTTTTACATAGCCGGCACTAAGATTGAACAATAGTTGAATCACAACAGCCACCATCAGGTTTTAATGTAGCCAAACCAGCGGTGAAACACGGCCAGATTTTTAGGGTAAGTTGTGTCAGTCAGGGTCGACTTAGAAACAGTGGCTTGGCTTCAGGAAGTGGAATGGAAGGAACATAAAGTTTTTTCTGAAGGGATAGCTGTACTCTATCATCAAAATTGAGATAGTATTAGGACCAGGCCATATGCAATTTTAATTTTTTGACAAGTGAAGTTTAAAAGTTTTTCATTTAATTTAATTGATACATAATAGTTGTACAGGGTACATGTGATTTTTTGATGCATGCATACAATGCGTAAGGATTAAATGAGGATATTTAGGATATCCACCTCAATCATTTATCATTTCTTTGTGTTGTGAACACTTCAAATCTTCCCTTCTCGCTATGTTGAAAACACAATGAATTATTTTTAATGATATTTATTCTACTGTGCTGTCAAACACTAGAACTTATAAGTTCTTTCTTCTAGCTAGCTGTATGTGTGTACCCATTAACCAACCTCTCTTCATCTTCCTCTTCCCAACTTTCCCAGCCTCTGGTAACTGTCATTCTTCTGTCAACCTCCATGAGATCATATTTTTTAGCCCCTATGTAAGAATGAGAGCATGCAATCATCATCCTTCTGTGCCTGGCCTATTTAGCTTAACGCGATGTCTTCCACTTCTATTCATGTTGCTGTAAATGACAAAATTTCATCCATTTTTATGGCTGAATATTATTCCACTATACACACACACACACACACACACACACACACACACACCACATTTTCTTTATCCATTCATCCATTGATGGATACTTTGGTTGATGTTATACCTTAGCTATTGTAAATAGTATTGCGATAAACATAAGCGAGGAGATGTCTCATCAATATACTGATCTATTTTTTCTTTTGGATATATACCCAACATGGGATTGCTGGATGACAAGTGAAATTTGTTGGGCTTTTCCCACCTTGTTAGTCTTTAGTCGGAGTTGACCCATCTCAAAATAAGAATATCAGCCAGAAAGTCACAAGGTCTTTATAGGTCAAATGTTCAGTTTCAATGAGAAAACAGTAGCAGGGCAATAACTGCTTTACACAGGGGTTTTTCTGGTAGCCGTGTCAGGAAAGCAATGTGTCCAAAAACCCAAAGGATACCTGTGGAGTAGGTTGCTCACTTTTTCTGGAGGCTCCAAACAGCAATCAGTGTAGATAAAAAGGGGCTCAACCCCTCAGGCTGTGGGGCTCCAAAGTTACAGTGAGCCATAATCTGCAGGTAAGCGTCCAACACAGCCCAGGCACAAAAGGAAAAGGCTGATTTCTTTTTCAAAAAACATAATTCTAAATGTATTTATTTGCCACTATTTCAAATGTCACAGAAACCTTATTTTTATACATTTTTAAAAATAATTGCTTTATGTATTTTATTTTTTTGTAATTTCAACTTTTATTTTAGATTTAGGGGGTACATATGCAAGCTTATTACATGAGTATATAGCATGATGCTGAGCTTTGGGGTATGACTGATCCTATCATGCTGCTAATGAGCACGGTATCCAATAGCTTTTAAACCCTTGCCCCCCCACCCACTCTCTAGTAGTGCCCAGTGTCTATTGCTGTCATCTTTATGCCCATATATACCCAAGGTTTAGCTCCCACTTACAAGTGAGAATATGTGGTATTTGGTTTTCTGTTCCACTTAAGATAGTGGCCTGCAGCTGCAACCTTGTTGCTGCAAAGGACAAGATTTTGTTCTTTCGTATGGCTGTGTAGTATTCCATGGTGTACATGTACCACATTTTCTTTATCCAATCCACCATTGATGGGTACCTAGGTTGATTACATTTCTTTGCTATTCTAAATAGTGCTGCAATGAACGTAAAAGTGTATGTGTGTTTTTGGTAGAATGATTTATATTCTTTTGGATATAAGCTCAGTAATGGGATTGCTGGGTCTAATGGTAGTTATCCTTTAAGTTCTTTGATAAATCTTCAAACTGCTATCCACAGTGTTTGAACTAATTTACATTCCCACCAATAGTGTTTACACATTCCAGAAAAGGGCTGATTTCCTGGTAGCTGATATAAAGGACCAATTAAAATGCCCAAACTAAGCGCATACCATTTCTAATGCACAAACAATTCTATATGATGCTAAACCTTTTGTTTTTAGCAGTGGAAGGTCAATGTGACAACAGAAGAATTATGACATATTTCCTCCCAAAAAACATGTATTTGGTGAACAGGACCCTGAATTTTGTCAGAGTTTATCAAGCACTCCTTTTGGTGGAAATGTGATTATACCGCAATCAGAGCTGAGAGTGAGGCTTCTGACTTGTCAACCAACTGGGCCTCCCTTATATGGTAAAAGCTATGGGGCTCAGAGAGTACAGATTTTTGTGCCATGTCTTGAACCTCCAATAGTAGCAAAGGGAGAGATTTAAGTATCCTTAGGGGTGCCCTGCAGATATACATCAAAGGCCTTGTAAAATGAATGTGAATTAGTCTTGGTTCTCAAGTGCCAGTGAAAATTTTTAAGAAGTGCTGGAAATGTCCAGGACAGCATGTTATATGCCATGGATCTCTGCACCGGATAAAGTTGTCAGATTGTCTGGAACAGCTGAGACTACATGAGCCAAAACTGAATTTAGTTGATGATATTTGAGTATAAGTCTCTGGCTCTTGTCAGCTTTTTCACTGGCCATATGGGGATTGATGCATGGAGTAATGTATCTCTTATTACTACTGCTGCCTTTCATTTCTTAATCGGGATTTTGATTTTCCTTTAACCTTCTTAGATTCTATATAGTTTCTGTTGGAGCACATGGGAGAGGACAGTAATCACTTCACTGTTTATTGCATAATTAACATCCACACATAGAGGAGAATATTCTCAAGAGAAAAGACAACCAATGGAGACTGAATTTGTGATAACCCACATGTTGGAATTAACAGATTACTAGCTATTATCACTATACTCAAGGAAAAAAATACTAATCATCTACAGAAAGACAAGAAATACCAAATGAAAATAAAAACTCAAAAATAATGGAAATTTTACAACTGAAAATCTCAATTTCTGATTTGGCACAATAGCTTCTTAAACCATACGAGTGGAGAGTGTGAGTGTGTGTGTGTGTGTGTGTGCGTGTGTGCATGCATGTCCCTGCAGGAATATAAAGTTTATCCCTTCTTAACAGGTGCTAGTGTGGAGCAAGCAGGAAGGCAGGGGAGCCTTACCTGTGGGGAATGATCTGGAAGGCTTTTTATCCCTTGGCTTCTTGCTTTCAAAACAGCACTTCTGTGTTGTATATCTGATGGTTTCTGTCAGTGCTCAGGCCTAAGGGGCTCATTTTGCCCTCAGCTCTGTTGATCCCTGCTTTTAACCACTTCTGCACATAGCTCTAGCTCCTCATTAGTTACAGTTCTATTGCGTCTCAGCAGGGGAGTGGGGGAATGGCTATCCCTTTGTCAAGATGACTTCTCTTTATAGTCCTATCCTAAGAAGAGAGTGATATCAAGGTACTGTCCTGGTGGCTTATCTTTATCCTAACTCATATTGCTTAACCTCTAAACCTTCCCTCAGGCAGGACAGCAGAGAGCCCTGACTTCAGTTGAGTTCTGAGGGATGAGAAAGGAGCTGGTTTGGTGTCCAGTCTCCAGGTAAACGTCCTGAGGAAAGACATATTGTAGCAGACATTTTCTCAGATTTGAGACATAGAGCTGCAGATATCTACAGCAATTTTTACTGCTGGGATTTATTTCAAAACTGACAGGTTTTGCTGATGGATTGGATATGAAGTGTAAGCATAAGCGCAGAGTGAAAAATGACTCCAGAATCTTTAAATCTGCTCTACTGTATAGATGGAGTTGATTTTTAAAAGTTGAAAAATATTATAAGATGATTTTATTTACAGTAAGTTGACTTAGGATTGGACTTATTTTTTTTCTCCCATAGTCTTCACTTTGTTTTAAAATTTCCCCCCGGCTTTCTTAAGGTATAATCGACAAATAAAAATTGTACATATTAATGGTATATAATATGATGTTTTGATATATGCCAGAATTGAGGTTTTAATGTCAGTTTGATAAACTGAGAAAGGCTTCAGAACATTGAGAAAGAAGTGTGATTATAAAGATAAGCCATGGAACCCAACAAGCCAAGAAGGAAGGGAGAATCTGAAAATGTTGAGGAATGATGATGAAATAGAAACAATGGTTGGTAGTTGTGATGGAATTGAAGAACTATATGTCATGACTTGCCAGAAGGAATTGTCTAGAATTCAGGAACAGAATACAAGAGGTGCTATTCAGGTGGAATGATTAAAAATGTGACTTCAGAGTTGTTTCTCTTATGAAAATGACAAAGTTATTTGTATCCAAGTGTGTTCATTTTTTATTGCTGTACACCACATTATACAAAATTAATAGCTTAAACCACATGTATTAACTGTGTTGCTATAGGTCAGGAGTCCAGGCATGACCTACCTGAGTCCTCTCATCAGAATCCCACAGCCTGCAGAAGTGCAGGCAGGGCATTGGTCTCACCTGGAGTTTTCAACACAGGAATATTCCAATTCCAAGTTTATTCAGGTTATTGGCAGAATTCAAATCCTTGTGGTTTTATGAGTAAGAGTCCTGGCTTCTTATGGCTGAACCTACAGTTCTCTGTCACATGGCCCACTCCTTAGGCAGCTCACAACATTGATGTTGGCTTTTTTAGAGCCAGCAAGATGATATTTTATAGCAATCTGCTAAAATGGAGTTCTATATAATAAAATATATTCATGCAAGTAACATGCCATCACCTTAGCCATATTCAATCCCTGAGAAGCAAGGTTCCACACACCCTCAAGGAGGAAGATGATGCATTGTGGGTCTTCTTAGGGATTGTTTGATACACAATGTGTTTGGTATTTATTTTTTATTACTTAATGGTAGATAAATTGATGAGAAGATACCTTCAGACATGTAAGTCTATAATGTTTGCTTTGGATTCAAAAAATAATATATTTTCTTGTTACTGAAATTTTATATTCCACGTTCACTAACACTGTTGTGTAACTTTCAACTAATATCTACACATGAGATTCTCAATCTACTAAATGAATATGATAAGTATACAATTACCTGTTATTCTTTTATTGAGAATTTTTGATGCAATAGCTATAAACCAATTTGAAATTTTTATCCAGGAAACTTCCAGTAGATAAGCAATGTGAATGCAAAACAATTACGAGTAAAAAATGGCCATCACCTAAACTTTTATTAGTCATTCTATTTATGGAAACAACCTATAAAGAAATTTCTACTTAATTTGATTTATCATAGATGTTCTTTCTAGTTTTCCAAAAAAATTTGGTAACCTGACCCTATATACAATGAAAATATGTTTAAAATTAATTTCTGTTATATTGAGTTGCTTATCAATAACATACTTTAAAAATACTTGAAAATCTCAAATGTAATTAATGTTGGAATATTTCTAAGTTTTCAGATAGTGTTACTAGAAGTTTCCTTTTAGTTTCCTCTTTACAAAGAAATCGTTCTCAAGGGAGAGAATTTTAAATATTTTCATATAAATTGTTGTTTTACAGGAGAATTAAAATTTCTGAAGTCTATCTAAAGCACATAGTGAATTAAACGTTTAGCACTTAGGCTGTATATTTAAATCATATAGGAAAAAACTAACATCATTCAAGCTACACTGATGACTGCCGTATCATAATGACTAACATCACTTTTTCATAACAATAACTTTAATAAAGATTGATTTTTCTTACCAACTACCAGTCATTATTCTACACGTATTACATATATTACCTATAATAATTCAATTAATATTTACAACAACGTTTTCAGTTAAGGTCTGTTATGCCCATTTTATAGATGCAGAAACTGAGATTTTGGAAAGTTAAGAAGTATGCAAAGACTCATACAGTCAAATAACTGGCACAGTCATAATTTGAATATGGGTAGTCTGATTCTAAGAGCTGCATGCTTAACAATATGCAACACACCAACACCAGATATTTTCAACAACTACTAGTTAATGTCATTTACTATCATGAGTTAGTATTGAGTGTTGCCAAAAGCTAGTATTAGACCATCAATTAGTGGCCAAATTTTTACTTAATGTAACTATATTATTCCATTATACATACATGCACACACACACCCCATTTTATCTTATCGATACAATGTATTCAAAATCAAGAAAGGTCAAGATTTAAAATTGTCTTTTATTAAGTGTTTTTACACATAATTTATTATTTTGCATGAAAAAAAAATGAGATACCCAAATCCCTCACAACATTCAAGGCCTAAGTAACTCTAATCTTAATTATGGAAGCTATTTTTTAGGAAGAAGAAGATCTCAGTATGTGCTCTAAGATTCTTGTCTAAAATTAACCACCTAAGCATAATAACATATTTACAAAAGACCATATGATGTGTAAAAATTTTGGTAAATTATTATTTAGCTTTCACAATTATTAAAATATATTACCTTAAAGTTAAGTAGTTATTAATAAGAATTCATCTGGAAACTTCCTGAGAAATGCATCTATAAAAAAGCTATAGGATATTTGGAGAATCTATATAGCTAAAATGATATTGGTTTATTTTTAAAAATGAAAAGCAGTTGAACACATTGGTACATAGAAGAAGTTAAAGGAATGAATAAAAAAGTACATCTGTGCATATAAATATTTGTGAATAGTAAATAAAATATATGCAAACGTATACATTCTAAAACAAAATTTCCATATGCTCTATGTACTAGAATTTTTTTTTCTCCAAGAAGAATTCAGGATTTATGACAACCCTAAATGTCTCCCAAACTGAAAATTGTAGTACTTTCCATATATATTCAACACCTGTCCAGAGTTCATTGGGTTCATATGACCCAAGAAAGAGGTGAGGCTAATAAAACTGGAAACTCTTTGTTATAAAAGGTGATGACCATGGAAGTAGAAGTGCAGTGTTTCAAACTGACAGGGTAGTGTCAGTCTATGCTAATAGTTCTGGATATAGACCTGTCACAGATAAAACTGTGGACTAGAGAGAGTACCTAGCAGTAGTCTTAAAAAAATTGTGTGGTGTGAAAAGGAATTCCTATTCAATTAAAGTGAGGGATGCCCACTTTTGCCCTTAAATCTTTAAATGAAAGGCAATTATTTGATGTTTTAATAAATACTTCAATGGTTGAATTAACTTCCTTATACTATTATTTATTTGATGCCCATTATATGAGTGTAAATGAATTTTGTTATGTGTGTTTCAGGTAGAGAGATGTATCAATATATTTATTTTCTGAAGTGAAAACAAATTTACTTTAAAATAAGTTTGAATACAGATTTTTTAAAAATTCTCTTTTACGTCTCTATAGCCAACAGTAAACACATAGAAAAAAATAAAATGTTTTGCCCATTTTTATATAGTCACTTGTTATTTTGCTATTTAGGTTTTTTGGGATTTCTATGTATGTTGTACATTAACTCTTTGTCAGATGTATAGTTTGCAAATATTTCCTCTCATCTGTAGACTGTCTTCTCATCCTGTTGATTGTTTCTTTTGCTATGCAGGTTTTCAGTTTGATGTAATCTCATTTGTTTACTTTTGCCTTTATTGCTGGTGGGTGCTTTAGTGATCTTATCCAAATAATCCTACCTAGACCAATGTCATGAAGTGTTTTTCCTGTTTTATTTAGTAGTTTCACAGTTTCAGGTCTTACATTTAAGTCTTTAATCAGTTTTGAGTTGATTTTTGTATTTCATGAGAGATAAGGGCCTAATTTCACTCTTCTGCTTGTGAATATGCAGTTTTGTCCACACCATTTATTGAAAAGATTGTCTTTTCCTCAATGTATGTTCTTGGTACCTTTGTTGAAAATTAGTTAGCTATAAATGCATGGATTTATAGCCAGGGTCTCTATTCTATTCCATTGTTTGTGTCAGTTATTATTCTATGGCCATACTGCCTGGTTACAGTGTCTTTGTAGTATATTTTAAAATCAGTTAGTGAGATGCTTCCAACAGTGTTCTTTTTGCTCAAGATTGAATTGGCTATTTGGGGTCTTTTGTCATTACATAAGGATTTTAGAACTCTTTTTTCTATTTGTATGAAGAACATTGTTGATATTTTAATAGGGATTGCATTGAATCTGATCACTTTGTATAGTATGGACAGATATTTCTCAGAAGATGTGTAAATGGCCAGGTATATGAAAAAATGTTCAACTCATTAATCATCTGGGAAATGAAAATCAAGACCACAATGAGGTATCACCTCACCCCAATCAGAGTGGGTATCATCAAAAAAATAAAATAAAATAACATGTGTTGGTGAGAATGTGGAAAAAAGGGAACTGTTTTATACTGTTGGTGGGAATATAAATTTGCACATACTTTATGAAAAACATTATGACAGGTACCTCAATAAATGAAAAGTAGAACTACCATATGATCCTGTAATCCTACAAGATCATATGGTAGTTCTACCATAGTGACTTTGATGAAACTGTGGGACAAATCAATTAAATTTTGTTCATATATAAACATTAGCTACTTTTAAACATTAAATAATTAAATATGTGCTTCATTCTGGAGGGTGTACATTTCTGTTACTTCTGAAGCTTTTATTTTGTTGTGTTTATTCTTTTCATACATTTCTAATAGGTAAGCTTATATTCCCTTTATCCATGAATATATGTCATATGGCAATATGCCAAAACACAATCTAATTACACAGTTTAGGAACCTAAAAATTGTTATTTTTATGACAATATTATTTATATTTAGCATAGTTTTGTGTCTCATATATATCCAAAGAGATAGGTTTACTTTCCTGTATATTGTAGGTCTATTCACAGTAGTCAAAATAGAGAACCAACCTAAGCGTTCATCAATAAGTGAATTAATAAGGAAAATGTGGTATAAAGACACAATGGAATACAATTAACTCATAACAAAGAAGGAAATCCTGTCATTTACTACAACATGAATGAATCTATGGGACATTATGTTAGGTGAAATAATGCACACACAAAAAGACAAATACTGCATAATCACACTCATGTGTAATCTAAAATAATTTCATGTAATGGAAGTAGAGAGTATAATGTGGTTATCAGAAGCTGGAGTGTTTTGCAAGGAGGAGGACGTGAAATATTTTGGTCAAAGGATACTTAATTATAATTAGAAAAAAGGAAGAAATTTATATGTCTTAAGCATACCATCTTTTTTTTTTTCTTTTTTTTTTTTTCTTTTTTTTTTTTTTCCTGAGACAGAATCTTGTTCCAGCCCAGGCTGGAGTGCAATGGGAAGATCACAGTTCACTTCCTGGGCTCACATGATCTTCCTGCCTCAGCCCCCAAAGCAGCAGGGACCACAGTTACATGCCACCACAGCAAGCTACTTTTAAAATTTTTGGTAGAAAAGGAGTCTCACAGTGTTGGCCAGACTGGTCTTAAACTCTTGGCCTCAAGTGATCCTCCTGCCTCGGCCCACACAAGGTGCTGGGATTACAGGCATGAACCACCATACCCAGCTCACCTACTGTCTTGATGTAGTAATCAATTGCATGCTCTCTGAGGACATAAACCTATGCTTGCATAATGTTTTGAACCAGGAAATATAATGAGTCAGTGCTTGGAGAATTACACTAATGTGATTTTAACTGATCAAATTAATGCAAATTTCAACATAAAAATTAACTTTTGAAAAATGTCAGGGGCCAGGCATGGTGGGTCATGCTTGTAATAGACCTGTATATTGTAGATCTATTCACAGTAGTCAAGATATGGAACTACCCTAAGTGTTCATTAATAAATGAATGAATAAGAAAAATATGGTATATTTTGGGAGCACTTTGGGAGGCCAAGGTGAGAGGACTGCCTGAGGCCAGGGTTTCAGATCAGACTGGCTGACATAGCAAGACCCCGTCTCTAAATAAATAAATAAATAAATAAATAAAATTAGCTGGGTGTGGTGGTACACACCTGTAGTCTCCAGCTACTTGTGATGCTGATGTGGGAGAACTGTTTGAGTCTGGGTGGTAGAGGCTACAGTGAGCTGTGATCTTGCCTCTCTACACTCCAGCCTGGGTGACAGAGCAACACCCTGTCTCAAAAAAAAAAAAAATCAGGACATAATTTCTGCCTGATTTTATTTCCTTGATCACCAAGTGGACAAATCTCCACAGGACATTATAAAAATGTATGTTTCTTTAGAGTAAAAAAGTTGTTCAATAATTTTTACTACTTAAAGCAAATATAACCTACTTTAAAGGTCTATCATACTAGCAATTCAATTTCAATTTTATTTTCTTAACAGAAGATTTCACAATTTTTCTAATCACAATAATACAAATGCTGAACTATATATGCAATTTATTTCAACAAGAGCATCATGTATCATTCATCCCTGTTGAAATTTAAATTAATACTAATGTTTTCTGACATATCAACCTCATATTTATTGGTTCAATCAACACCCCAGTACAGTACTTATTTTTAAAAAAAAACATATATTCTAATACATTGTGGAAATAAACTCTAAACGCCCCCCTCTGGGCCTTCAGGAATCAAAGACTAGGAAAGATAAAAATAAGCTCTACATTATGTCAATATAAAACAAAACAGTTGTTAATGTATTCAACAAATATTTATTCAGATCTGCACTTACAGTTTGAGGTACTGTACCCCTAAATCCCAAGAGAAAATAAAGATAAACTCTATCTTTATGGCAACAAATTATTCAAGGTAAAGGGTAGTATTTCTTAATGATTTACATAATAATATATAACCGCTTAATGTGTATTATGGATCTATAGGTGTGTGTTTATATATGGGGTGTATGTATGTGAATTGGTGTGGGTATATGTGGGGGTGTGGAGCAGGGTGTGTCAGTATGTGTGTGTGCACATGTGTGTGGCTGTTTGGATGTCAAGATGTGGACATGTGTGTATGTGGGTGTTTAGGGGTTGTGGAAATAAGTGACAGTGCATGTATGTGTGCACTTGTATACATAAATGTGTGTGCATGTGCATGTGTGGAGTTCGTTTGTGTCATTGGTTCTCAACCAGAAGAAATTTTGCCTCCCAGGCAATGTTTGGCAATATCCCCATTCATTTTTGTCACACTAGGAATGGAGATGTGCTACTGAATTCTAGTGGGTATAGACAAAGGAGTTAGTCACTAGATACTGCTTAAAATCTTGCAATGTACACTGCCTGCAACCCCACACAACAAATTATCCCACAGACAGCAGAATACCAACAGTGCTGAGCTTGAGAAACATTGGTGTGTGTGTGTGTGTGTGTGTGTGTGTGTGTGTGTGTGGTGGGGGAGGGTTATGAGAATGTTGTAAAACTTGCACAGTGTAAGCAATCAATAACCTTTTCTGTGATTTTATGCTTCATGTCATAAACAAAACCCGAGGCTGTCTTATCATGTTGTTTTGCATCATCGTTATCCGACACCCCTGGGAAGATTTTTGCTATTCTTGCCTGACAATCCATCTATGAAGAAACATTTAACACCTCTTTAATGTGAGTAGGAGACTCATAAATTTTTTCGAAAACCATAAAAAATACTATTCTAGCAAATATTCTTTTCAGAGACCCTCAGAAAAGAAACTCTTTTTTTTAAGCTACTGAGAGATACTCATTGAATTTTGTTCCCCAAATACTAAGTCATGCCTGATTAAATAAGAATTCTGGCATATCTAAGATTGAGTCTCTATGGAAATAGTTGACTCATTATTACTGATTTTATTACCAAACAGATAACTTTATTAAGTTGGATTCTGTGAATATTGTTGGATGTAAAATATTAAATATATTGGAATGTAAAATTATCTTTACATTTACCTTTACTTGTCTATGGTCCATGAAAAAATGTTAGTATTAAAAATAACATTCACTCATTATGTCTTTTTTTCTAGGAAATTTCTTTGTCGGCCATATCATAAGCTGTATCCTAGGTAGATGATTTAATATTGGCTAGATTATTTAATGCCACACCTTTATTATTATTTCTGTTTTTCTCAGTTTCTGGATTTTTCAGGATCATCTTGATAGAAGAAAAGGCTAAAAATGATATTCCAATGTATTACTGCATTTGTCTTGGGGCTCTTTTTTATTGAAATGACACTAAATCCACTGGGAAGTAGAAACTATGGGTTTGAGGAAGATGGAGCCCACATATCTCTGATCAAACCTTTGACTCTGTAACTATAGCTGTCAAAATAAACTGATGTGAATTATGAAAAAAGAGTTATCATTTTTAACTGCTAGATGTCCTCCTAGAATATATTTTTTGTTCATTATATTTAACAAACATACTTTCTCTGGCATAAATTTGTAAAATTCCTACTATATAGAGATTGTGTACCTGTTAAAGGCAAGGACATGCATGCTACAATCTCAAATATAAAGTTATATCGGGCAGCCCATATACAGTTTATTTTTAAAGCATATATTTATAGTAGCTACATGCTGTCAAGTTCTTCCTGAAATAGTAATGCTCATTGTCACAGATGATATTTAGCTATTATTACCCTGTATAAATGTAATATTCTTTTCTCCCTTGGTTTTGGCAGAATACTATAACCTTTCGGAAGTCCAGAGGAAAAAGGCACCGTTTTATTTTATTTGCACTTTCTCTCCCATCTGTAATGGCATCCAAGCGGAAATATAATCATTAGGGTAGTCCATCCATGTTCTTAGAAAGTCACTGTTGTTTAAAATAAGCCAACTGATATAAATAAGTTGATGTATTGAGTTTATGTGGTTGTCTTTTGATCTGTCAAAAATGCTACCGTTTTCTTGTCCTCTTTAAAAACATTTTACAAATGCCTTAAAAAGACATCAGAGAGAAGGGACATACAAATCAGACTAATCTTTTGCCTGTGGGCTCATCTTTAATACATTATTATCTGTCTATTTTTTTTTCACTTTGACAAGTAAGGAAACCCAATCATGACCAAAGTCATTTATTTCTTGAGGCTACAATCATGCATTGCTGCTTCCTTGATGAGTGAATATATTCACTGGAAGGAAAGACAAATTGGCATCTTAATTCAGGTTATATAAGATTAGACAAAATGGCTATCAGCTGTCCACATATTACTGAAAATAAAGCTATTCTGGTTTCTTCTACAAAAAATATCTGGATTTAGGCTTCTTACATGTTCCTGAAATTATTCTGGGTCATGCAAATGTATGTTGAAGAACTTAAAGGGACATGAAAAAACTGGCTTTCAGATAGCAACTGGCAGACTAAACATAGAATTAGAAAATTAGGGGCTTCCTATCTTATTAACAAATGCTTTTTAATCAGTGCAACAGGCTGTTAATGGATGACAAAGAAGTCTGTAGTCCATGATCTACATGAAAACATTTGGCTGATATGTGTTTTTTTATTTTTTATTATTTTTTATTTTTTATTTATTTTTATTTTATTTTTCTCCAGGACAGTGTCTCCCTCTGTTGTTCAGGCCGGAGTGCAGTGCCACAGTCTTGGCTTACTGCAACCAGCTCCTCCTGGGCTCGAGTGATCCTCCCCCATCAGCCTCCTTAGTAGCTGGGACTACAGGTGTGCACCACTGTATCTGGCTGACATATTCTTTAGGTTTTCCCATTTCTTTCATATTTCCTGGGTTCTTGAACAAGATTTTGCTGTGAAAGGATAAATATAACACTAATTTTCTCAGGCAAAATATAAAGTCACGCTGTACTAGTCATATAGAGAACTATACATGTTACTAAGAAACTCTTAAAGAGATGTAATATTAAAATGAGACTACAAAAATAAAAAGCAAATATTTCCTTTCCTATTAATAATGTATCTAAATTAATATTTGAAGAAAATAATATTAAAAGTAGCATAATTGCATTTAGGATGTTTTAAATATTTAATGAGAACCACATAAAGAAGCATGAGGATACAAAATGATGAGGGCCATTTTCATATAATTTTGGGAAGCAAAATACATTTGAAGTAGTCAAAATTTCTTAACTATGATGCATAATCACTAATATTGGTAGTTACTTCAGTGAAAATATTACATGTTATATAAAGCCATTAATTATTAAAATAACGTTTATTTATGTATTATTATTATTTTTTGATACGCACCTGCTCTTGTCACCCAAGCTGGAGTGCAATGGCGCAATCTCGGCTCACTGCAACCTCAGCCTCCCAAGTTCAATTGATTCTCCTGCCTCAGCCTCCTGAGTAACTGGGCTTACAGGCACCTGCCGCCACACCTTGCTAATTTTTGTATTTTCAGTAGAAATGGGGTTTTGTCATATTGGCCAGCCTGGTCTTGAACTCTGGACCTCAGGTGATCTGCCTGCCATGGCCTCCCAAAGTTCGGGGTTACAGGCGTGAGCCACTGCACATAAAATAATTGCTTAAATACCTAAATTTGGTGTGAATAATAATAATGTTTTAACTGTTCATTTGTTTTAAATCCAGAAATACCATCAGGATGTGTATCATCAGAGATAGAGTGGAAACTCAGACTCAAACGTTTACGCACTTCTATATGGAGTAACCTTGCGCTTGTCACTGTCTAAGTTTTCATTTATACAGGAAAAAATGTGAACTTCACGTGATTATTATGATGGAAACACAATTTGTGTTAAACCCTTCATAAAGACTGAAACATGTCAAAATTCTAACAGGCATTATATGCCATAGAGCAGAAACTATGTAACATACTGAGAAACATACAGGTAAATTAAAAATAGTTCCTTATTTTACATAAGCTTACATTTCAGATAGATACACAGATGCCTGGTCATAAGTTCAATGTTAAGAACTAAACAAATAGCAATTGAGTGCATTATCAGCCATTAAGATCTAACTGAGTTTAAAAACGCTTTAAAGTATGATTATTACCTTAAAATATTTATCATTTTCTGTTCATTTTATTCCTTCAAAGCAGAGTATTTTCTAGTATTTTTCCAGTGAAGGTCTGATATCAGTAAATTCTTTATGCTCTATATTTTTTGAATTTTTTTAAAATTTCATATTCATTTTTAAAGAATGCTTTTGCTGGTCTAGATTGTCATTGTCCCCACCCTCCCTCACACTTCAGCATTTAAAACTTGTTCCGCTTCCTTATGTCCTCCATTTTTCTGAACAGGAGTCAGCAGTTTATGTATTTGTAGCATTGTTCTTTTGCATGTCATTATATATTCTCTTAATCTTTGTTTACAGTAGATTGACTATAGTGTGCTTAAGTGTGGTTTTCTTTGTATTTCAAAAAACAGCCCAAACAGCAAAGACAATCCTAAGCAGAAAGAACAAAGCTGGAGGCATCATGCTACCAAACTTCATATTATTCTACAGGGCATATTAATCAAAACAGCAGGTTACTGGTATAAAAAGAGACACATAGACCTGTGGAACAGAATAGAGAACTCAGAAGTAAGGCCACACACCTAAAACCATCTAATCTTTGACAAACCTGACAAAAACAAGCAATATGGGAAGGATCACCTATTCAACAAATGTTGCTATGATAAATGGCTAGCCATATGCAGATTAAAACTGAACCCTTTCCTTACACCATATACAAAATCAACTCAAGATGGATTAAAGACTTAGATATAAAACCTATAACTATAAAACCCTGAAAGACAACCTAGGCATTCTGGACATAGGAACAGGCAAAAATTTCATACGACACCAAAAGCAATTGCAACAAAACAAAAATCGACAAATGGGATCTAATTAAACCGCTTCTGCACAGCAAGGGAAACTATCAACAGAGTGAATAGACAACCTACAGAACGGGAGAAAATTTTTGCAAACTATGCATCTGACAAGGGTCTAATATCCAGTATTTATAAGAAACTTAAAAAATTTACAAGAAAAAACAAACCTGTTAAAAAAAAGTGGGCAAAGGACATAAACAGACATTTTTCAAAAGAAAGCATACATGCAGCCAACAATTATATGAAAAAAAGCTCAACATCATTGATCATTAGAGAAATGCAAATTGAAACCACAATGAGATATCTATTATATCATCTATTATTGTAAAGTCAACAAAATAACAGATGTTGGCGAGGCTGTGGAAAAAAAATGCTTATATACTGTTGGTGGGAGTGTAAATTAGTTCACTCATTGTGGAAGACAGTGTGATTCCTCAAAGACATAAAAACAGTAATACCATTCAACCCAGCAATCCTATTACTGGGTATATACCCAAAGGAAAATAAATCGTACTAGTATAAAGACACATGCATGTGTATGTTCATTGTAGCACTATTCACAATAGCAAAGACATGAAATCAACCTAAATGATCATCAGTGGTAGACTGGATAAAGAAAATGTGGTACGTATACATTATAGAATACTATGCAGCCATAAAAAATAAGATCATGTGATTTGCAGAAACATGGATGAAGCTGGAGGCCATTATACTTAGCAAACCAACACAGGAACAGAAAACCAACTACCGCAGGTGATCATTTGTATATGGAAGCTAAACAATGAGAACACATGGACACATAGAGAGGAACGACACACACCTGGGGCCTATTGGAGGGTGGAGGGTGGGAGGAGGGAGAGGATCAAGAAAAATAGCTAATGGGTACTAGGCTTAATATCTAAGTAACAAAATAATCTGTACAACAAACTCCTGAGATACAAGTTTACTTATATAACAAACCTGCACATGTACCATTGAACTTAAGATAAAATTTAAATAAAAAAGGGTTCACTTCCCTTGAAATATCTGCAAGTTTATGTCTTCAACATATTGCAAATATCTCAACCATATTAAAAGAAAATTCCCCCAATTTTTCACTTAGCTATTGCTCCATGCAGGTTCTATGTAGCTTTGTGTGTGTGTGTGTGTGTGTGTGTGTGTGTGTGTGTGTGTGTGTGTTTCCATAAATTACTGAGGTTCTGTTTGAATTTTCCACATTTTTATTAACAAATCTACATGTTTGCGGATTATTTTCTTCAGTGTCATCTCCATTCTGCTTTTAGCCTATCTAGCAAATGTTTTTATATCAGAAATTGGAATTTTCAGTTGCAACATTTCAACTATTTTGGAGTCTATTTTTCTGTTAGTATTTTTTTAACTTCTCATTTGCAATTAATATTTTTTCCTTGAGTATAGTGATAATAACCACTAATCTACTAATTCCAACATCTGGGATATCGTAAGTTTAGCCTCCATTGGTTGTCATTTAACTTGAGGATGTCACACTTTCCTCTTTCTTTGAATGTTGAGAAATTTTGTATTATATCCTAGACACTGTGAGGTTATGTTTGGAGTCTCTGAATTCTGTTACTATTCCTTCAAAGAGCCTGCTTTTTTCCCTCCCTCCCTCCATCCCTTTTTTCCTCCCTTCCTCCCTTCCTTCACAGTCAATCAGATGGGTAGGACTGAAACTGTCAGCAGCCTTGTGAGAAGTGGCTCAAATCTCAGTTCAGTTTGTTTACAGATGGGCAGCTTGAAGCCAAACATTTGTGGTACAGGAGTTAGTCAAATTTTGTGGATTTTGACAGAATGTATTCACAAACTTCAGAACACTTGTCCTTTTTTCTCTCCTTTCCAGAACTCCTTACCCATCCAATTTTCAATGGATGTGGTTGGCTTCAACTCTTTGCAATGGCTTTTCAGGTCAAAAATACTATGAATTTTTTAATTGACATTTTAACCATGTGGCATGGTGAAGACTGCAGACCTCAGGCTAGAAGCCATGAGTAGTGGAACACTCAATACCATTCTCTTATTCCAAACTTAAACTCCCTCTAGAATCTGCCGGTATTTGGTTGCTTTCCAGTGAGGTCAGATATTTGCTGTTGTTTTGTTTTCTTTTCATTTTGTTAATAGCTTATAGTTGTTACCTTTGTTGTTTATGGGATGGTTTGGCTGATAATATCCTATCAGACAAAATGGAAGTTTGAAATTCCTTCAGTTCTAAGATTATAAATATTACTTTTTCTTTCCAGAAAAGATAAAACAAAATCTGCAGTGCTACTCTGAAAAAATAAAATGACTATTTTTCTGTTACCAGAAGGATTCTTTTTTCCTCAACAAAGCATAGACTGTGAAAATCAGAAGATAAGAAATTTTTTCTCACTGCCCTTCAGAAATGTATGTAACATTTAAACAACCTACTACTCCCAAATAATACTCCTATTATTAAGGACAAAAAAAAAATCACAAAGCTTCTCTGCCTCACCACAAAATATAAATTAACATTAAGATCCTGGGAGTTTAGACATAGCTCTTTAGATTGTGAACTGGCTAAAGACTTCTTACTTCTCGTTTGTTGATAATTCCTGCTTGAAGTAGCGCTAAATTCCAGCCCAGAGCTTTACTTGGCAATTCTGAACAGGCTTCCTCATGCACAGCCAGAACTGACATTCAAGCCGTATACAACAGTATGAGTGTACTGGATATTAAAATATTGAAATGCTTCAAAAACTCATGGTAGGAATCTATTTCCTGTGAACCACATGCTGCTTTGACCATGGTAAACCACCCTCTGGGAATGCTCTTGGGTTTTATTTTTTAAAAAACTTAGTGAAGTATAAAAGGCAATAAGAAAGTAGAACAAATCATGAATACACAAATGCACAAAAGATCTTAAAGTAAACACACCTGTGCAACTTCACCAAGATCCAGGCATATATAGTAGGGCATTCCAGATGCTTCCTCGTGTAACCCCATGAAATATTCCCACGCGTTTCCTGAGGAGTAACTATCATCTTGACTTCTAGTGCCAGATTAGTTTACCTTGTTTGTAGACTTTATGTAAAGGGAATCGTAACATTTGTCTTCGTGTGTATCTGGTCTCTTGCAGTCACCATTTTTATTTTTGAAGTTTATCATCATTTCATTGTCATAATGTTTTCTATTATAAGAATGGTGCTCAAATTATTCATTCCACTATTGATGAATATTTGTGTTACTTCCATTTTAAGGCCTTTAACTTTCCTATTGTTATGAATATTCCTTTCATGTTTCTTGCTGCTTATATTTGCTAAATTTCTTACAGTGAAAATTAAGGATCATAGATTGTGTGTATTTAGCTTTATTAGATAGTGACAGACAATTTTAAAAAGGGATTTTTCTGTTAATATCTCACAAGCAGTATATCAGTGTTTCACTTAATCCAAATCTTTGACAATATTTAGTACTGTTGGCCTTTTACACTTTAGTCATTTAGTCATTGTTTTTCAGGAGTATAGTGGTATTTTTTACTTTTTTTGAAGGCTAATAAGGTTAAATACATTTAATGTATTCATTGGCCAGTTGGATAGCTTCCTTTGTGAAATCATGTTTACGTTGCTTGTTCTTTTATTCTGTTTATTTTTTCTTTTATATATCTTACAAATTCAAATTATTTGGCAATATGTTAAACATATCTTCTGCTACTCTCTTTTATTGGTACATAATAATTGTATATATTTATGAGGTAAATGTGACATTTTGATACATGCATACAGTGTTCAATGAACAAATCAGGGTAATTGAAATATTCATCACCTCAAATATTTATAATTTCTTTGTGTTGGGAACTTCCCAATTTTTTCTTTTCTAGCTATTTTTGAAACAGACAAGAAATTATTGTTAACTACAGTCATCCCACTGTGCTATCAAATGCTAAACTTCTGCCATCTATCTAACTGCATGTCTGTACCCATTAATGAATCCCTCTTCATCCCTCTCTCCCCACTATTCTTGGCAGCCAACTTTTTTACCTTCCCACATATGAGTGAGTACATGTGATACCCTGTCTTTCTGTGCCTGGCTTATTTAACTTCACATAGTGACCTTCAGTTCCGTCCATGTTGCTGCAAATGTTGATCCTACAGAGATAAAAAATATTCTACAGCTTGTTTTTTACTCTCTTATGAATTGCTTTTGGTAAACAGAAATTCTCAGTTTAGTGGAGTCTAATTAACCATTTCTGTTATGGTTAGTGATTATTGTAAACTTTCAAAGAAATATTTAAGAACTATACATAATACAGGTACACAATTATATTATACTCTTGTCTTTCTGATTTTACCTTAATTTTTGTGTATCCAGTGTATCTGGAACTGATTTTTTGTGGTTATTATGACGGGAATTCTATTTTCTCCAAATATTTAACCAATTTGTTTACTTCCATTTATTATAACTACCATATTATCTAAATCATAGAATTAGAGTTTTTCAAAATTTTACCATATATCTAATTATGTACTTATCTTTTGTACAGTATTTTGGTATACAGCCTTTATTAGGGTTAGAAAAGTTTTTATTATCCCAGATTTAATAACGTTTTAAATTGTGAATGGAAGTCAAGTTTTATTATATGCTTTCTCTGCCTCGTTGAAGGTAATATGGCTTACCTTCACTAGTTAATTTTAAGATTTCTTTTTTTGTATTTGGTTTGTAACCGGTGTGTGTGTGTGTGTGTGTGTGTGTGTGTGTGTGTGTGTGTGTTTTAGTTGGTGGAGGGCGGTGTTGGAGGTAGCTTGGCAGCATAGTTTTCTTTTTATTTATCCTACTTGAAATTCATAATGATTCTTGGGTCACTGATACATTTTTGTCACTTTTGAAAAATTTTCAAACTTTACGTCTTCAAATATTGTTTCTGCCAACCTCTTTTCTCCTTCTGGTTCTCAAAATATTCATCAATTTAGCCAGCTCACTGAGTCCCCGTATCACATAAATATTTTTCCTCATCTTCCTTTTCTTTGTTTTCTTCATGCTGTATTTCTGTATGTTTTTCTGACTCATCTTCCAGTTCACTATTTCTCTCAGATAAGACTCAGGTTGCTTTTGTTACATTCTTAATTTTAGTTTTTGTATTTTTCAGTTCTAGAAGTACTTACTTTCCTTTTGTAATTCTGTCCAGCTATTTCTTCACATTCTTCATACAATATTGTCACATTTTGAATACATGTTTATCATAGTTCTGTTAAAATTTATGGCTAATTAATCTAAATCTGAATCTCCTTTAGTGTCTGTCTACCACGGTAAATAGAGAGGGTTTCCAGGGACTATAGGAATTCAACTGGCTTGAGCAATCTGCCTGCTTTATAGTTTTCTATCTTACAGCCTGTTTTTTGCAATATCTGTGTGATGTGCAATCACCTACTGGTTGAAACCAGTTCCCGACAGACCTCAGTAACTTACAAGTGAAGCCCAGTGAACTTTTCTCATTACCATGCTAACATCTCCACCCTGGAAGGATCTGTAGCTTCATTTCCATGACATGCAACCCACAGGGTGGCAGGGTGACTCCCTGAGTTTGTGCTACAGGGACCCCTCCTTTACATAAGATAATGTACCCTCTCCATTGCCCCATAAAGCCCTCTTGTCACTCTCTCTTGAGGAGACACTGCTTTGGAGAATATTCTTGGTGTTCTTCTTACTTTTAACAAGTAATAAAACTCCAATTGATCAAAACCTGCATTCTCATGAATGTTTGTCAAGTTAATGAACCCTGGTTTTGGGGGGGTGGGGGTGACATCATCTTTTATTCCTCTTTATTTTTGTTATATGACTCTCTCTTCATATGCTTGGTTACTTTTGATTCAGTGCTGGGCATTGCATAGAAATAAATTTAAGTATTTAAGCATAACTTAAGGTCATAGTTGCTGCTATCTTTCTTCAGAGATAATGTACTTTTTCTCAAAGAAAGCAACTTTGTTGGAGGCAGAACTAATCCAATTGGGTAGTGAACGGATTCAAATCGTGGTTTCAGTCATCATGAGGGCTGGTCCCTTACAAGTTCATCCTCATATCCTGTGTGTAGTCCTTCACAATTACCAACTGAAAACCTGGTTGTGTGTTAGGTCTCTTCTTGGACTCTTAGCAGTTAAAAATGATAACTCTCTTTTTCCATAATTCACATCAGTTTATTTTGACAGTGATAGTAAGAGTCAAAGGTTTGATCAGAGATGTGTGGGCTGCATCTTCATCAAACCCATAGTTTCTACTTCCCAATAGATTTAAGTCATTTCAATAAAAAAGTGCCCCAAGACAAATGCAGTAATAAATTGGAATATCATTTTCAGCCTTTTCTTCTATCAAGATGATCCTGAAAAATCCAAAAACTGAGAAAAACAGAAATAATAATAAAGGTGTGGCATTAAATAATCTAGCCAATATTAAATTATCTACCTAGGATACAGCTTATGATATGGCCGACAAAGAGAACTTTCCTGGGAAAAAACATTGTGAGTGAATGGTATTTGTAATACTAAAATTTTTTCATGGACTATAGACAAGAAAAGGTAAAGGTCCCCATGCAATTATTGGCAACTGCATTCAGCTTCTCAGCCTCTCACTTTCGGCTTTATAGTTGGCAAGTGCCTCAAAAGAAGTGCCAGTTGTTGATCTTACCTTTACAGATTATCCTTTGCCCTGATTCTTACTCATTGAGAGTTTTTTCTCCTTTGGTAGCTTTCAAATGCTTTATTCATTTTTGAAAAATTTTGTACAGTTCTTTACTCTCTGCTGTGAATTTAAATAAGTCAGTCCACCATTTCTATAATTGGAAATCTCCATGTGGAGATGTCTTGCCAAAATTTAGCCACTAAAGAAGTGACTTTGCTGACTTGGCACAGCAGGGGATTCACAAACTTTTCAGAAATGACAATGTTAACTGTTCTGCTATAGGTTCCAGTGAAATACTAATGCTTTTAAAATATGTAATATATTATGTTAAATATAATTATATTAAATAACTAAATATAATGTTATATATTTCATATATTTTTAATCCCTTTAATTTTCAGTGTAATACTAGATGACATTAGTATATTTCTTGTGTACATGTCTATATTTTGAGAACGCTGAGCTTATAACTAATTAATACAATAAAGATAATTTATTCAAGATTTTAAAATGTGTCATCTAATCCAAATGAATGGTCCAGACAGCATTTTCTGAATGTACAGGACTTGTTTATGAGCACCCATTATACCATCTTTATAATTTTCTTATATAGCATAAAAAAGAAACTATTAAGAGAAAAATTAAATATTGAATGTAAAAATACTTCAAAACAGATGTTTAAAAACCTAATTACCACCTTAAACATTGTGATTTAATACAAATAGTATTACACAAAATGCTCTTAATTTATATTTTATATTGATATAATTGGGCCTTTTTAATCTTTCTTAATTTATAATTTCTCTTTTTATTAAAAGTAAATATTGAATATTTTTGCTTTACTATTATGTTTTTCTTTAGTTGGATTTATAATTTTTATGTAGTATTTTGAATGTAATATATTCTTTGCTATCTTTCTAGTGGTTAACTTTCACTTTTTAACGAATATAATTAAAATTATAGTCAACTATAAGGTAGAGAATTACTATCACCTCATTACTTTCAAAATAAAGGGTTTCTTCACAATATCCTACTTTATATGTTTTGAATTTATCATCTGGAGTTGTAATTGAGATTGCACAATTATTGTAATATAATTATTGATTTTTATAATTAAATTATTTTACCTTTATCTTATGAGTCGTTTTATTATATTCTTCATCATTGTTATGTTTGTTCTAAAGAAATATTATATTTTCTATGAAGAAATATTAGTTCTGACAGTTTTTACTTTATATAGTTCTGTGCCTTGCTATTTCAACTAACATTGTTTTCTTGCTATTGAGTTCTTTAAGTTCTTTATATAAGCTGGATGTTAGCCTCTTATCAGATATATGGTTTGCAAATATTGTTACAACTTATTCTGTATATTGTCTCTTCACCTTGCTTATTGTTTCCTTTGCTGTCCAAAAGCTTTTTAGTTTTATGTAATCCACTTTATTTTTGCTTTTGTTGTCTGTGCTTTGGGATTTATATCCCAAAAATTATTGTCCAAACTAATGTGATATAGTTTTTCCCCTATGTCTTCCAGCTGATCTTTGACAAAGTCAACAACAATAAGTGATGCAAAAAGGATACCCTATTCAATAAGTGGTGTGGGGAAAACTGTCTAGCCATAGGCAGAAGAGTAAAGCCGGACTCCTACCTCTCACCATATACAAAAATTGACTCAAGATGAATTAAAGATGTAATGTAAGACCTCAAACTACAAAAATCATAGAAGAAAATTTAGGAAATATTCTAGACATTGACCTAGGCAGCAGCAAATTGTTTAGTTTTTATAAATTTGTGTGGCTTAAGATTTCTTTCTGGTATTAATTTCTATTTCATTGTGGTCTGAGAGATGATTGGTATACTTTTTTTTTAATTTACAGAGACTTGCTTTATGACTGAGCATAAATCTTAGAGTATGTTTCATGTGCGAACGAGAAAATACATTCTGTGGTTGGGTAGAGTATTCTTTAGATGTCTACTGGACCCAGTTGGTCCAGTGTTGAAATTAAGTCCAGAATTTCTTTGTTTCTGCCTCTGTTATCTGTCTAATGTTGTCATTAAGGTTTGAAGTCTCTGCTGTCATCGTGTGGCTGTCAAATTATTTCTTTAGTTCTAGAAGTAATTGTTTTATAAATCTGGGTGATCCAATGTTTGATGTGTATATATTTTGGATAGTTAAGTCTTCTTGAATTTTTACTATTATGTAATGCCCTTCTTTGTCCTTTTTTACTGTTGTTGGTTTAATGTCTATTTTATTTGATACAAGAATAGTGATCCCTGCTCTTTTTTATTTCCCATTTTTGTGATACATCTTTCTCTATTGCTTTACTTTGAGCATATGGGTGTTGTTACATGTGAGGTGGGTTTCTTGAAGGCAACAGATGAATGGGTATTTTTTTTTAAATCTAATATGCTGCTCCATGTCTTTTAAATTGAGGATTTAGGCCATTTATGTTCAATATTAATATTGATATCTGAAGTTTTGTTCCTGTTGTGTGTTTACTTAGTTGCTTTGTTGTCTCAATTGTGTAGTTGCTTTATGGGATCAATTGGTTCCA